>NC_000015.10:87501884-87653399 GCF_000001405.40 Homo sapiens
CTGTAACAGAAAATCATTTTCTGGGGCCTGATAATGATTTCCTAATACTGAGATATCAATCAGATGATCCATTTGTTGTCTACTGGGGCTGGAGAAGGGATTAGTCTGTGGAAGAAAATGGGATGATCCACTGGGTGAAGGCTGATGAAGGGAGGAGAAGGGTGCATAGTCAGGCAGTCAATGTCAGGACTCGGAAAACAGGGTTTCGAAGAGCCTGTGCAACACATCTCCTCTGTAAATATCCAAGTACCCTCCCTCTCACCCTCCACCTCCTCCAGGCCAGGGTCAGATGTTGTATGTCGTAGCTCTGCATGTCTAAGCGTAACATGAAGGAAAGAGGTGCCCCCATGCCTTTGCACAGGCTGTGCTGTCTTCTAGAATGTTTTCCTCTTCTTTCCTGCTCATCTGTCCCTTGGTGATAATCATAATATACAGCCATTAAAATTAGTAACAGCTAAGGTCACCTTGTGTCAGGCACCTTGCTAAGTGCTTTATATAGCTCTTGCATGTTCACCACAATCCTATGAAGTAAGTATTCTATTTCCTACTTTTCTGATGAGGAGTGTGGGTCTTGGAGAGCTTAGGTTACTGGCACAAGGGCATATAGGTTAGCAGCAGCAGCAAAATAATTTATCCATCCAAAGCCTATGTTCTTAACCACCATAAAAGATGCAGCTCAAAGGTTACTTATTTTAGGAACCCTCTTACTTCACCAGAAAAGAAAAAAATTTACCCTCTTTCCCCTCACTCAGTGTTCAGATATTTTGTATAAACTTCTCTTAGAGGACTTATCGTACTGGATTGCAATTAGTGGAATTATTTTAATTACTTTTTATGGCTGATACAGTTTTGCAGTCTTGGCACCAAACTTACCTGACACATAGCAATTGCTCAATAAATGTTTGCAGAAAAGGAGGAATAATGGATAGAATGAATAAACAGTGAGGCAAAACAGCACAGCCCCTGGGCCCTTTGGACACAGAGACCTGGATGTCTCCTTTTTAGCCAACTGAGATGAGGATATAGCTCTTTTCCTTTCATTGAACACTTGAAATATGTCAGCCAGAGAGGCTGAGTCAGGGAGAGGCCAGGTGAGCTGACTGCAGGCTGACGCCCACATCCAATCTAATACCTACCTCCACCTTCATCCTTAAAAGGGGTGAGGTAGGCTGGATTGACTCTATACTCCTAGGGTTGGGATTAGGTTAGAAGAAAAATAATGTCTCACAATCTCCATCTTAAAGGCCCAGCAGGTCAGGACCCAAACCTTCACAGGAGGGGCAAGAGCCAAACTAGCACAGAGCAGAAGAAAGACCATCACTCCATAGAGGGGTGACCCATCTGCACTGTGCTGCAGAGGCCTTCTCTAACCAAGAGAGAAAGAAATACATCTAAATCTGGAATCTTATCCTATTTTGTCCTCAAAACTAGGCACGAGAGGCAGCAGCAGAGGGACCCTGGGTGAGTGGGGAGCAGGGCAGTCTGTAGTCTCTTGTAGGAACAAGGTGGATGTGGAGGGGTGGCCACCACTTGGGCAATTTCCCAGCTGCTAAAGATCATACAGTTAACCCTCTGTGATTAAAGCGACATTTATTTATAGTTTTCTCTTAGATATGTTGTATTGTCTGTGTGTCTCATTTTTCCTCAACATACAACTCAATGTAAATAAATAAATAAAAGGATTATGTGCTACAGGAGCTGCCATACAGGAGCTTGGGCAAGTGTTGGTAAGTAGACCCAGAAATCCCAGAATGGTTCTGCTGCAGACACTCACTCTTCTGTGACCAAAAGCTTCTTGCACATGAAAAGCGAAGCCCTGAGCATGTTGGATTACTACATCTGAAAGGCCGTACTGGTGACCAAAGGGTGACCTGACACTAAACCTCTAGGAGTCAGTTGATTGTAAAGGTCTTCAGGACAGAAAGAAGGTTTTGTATCCTTTGTGCTGGGAATTCCAGATCCTGGAACCCTTGGCGAAGCTTAAATCTTGTCCTCCTATAGCATCATACCAAAGCCAACTTCACAGCTATGTTGCGCAAAGGCTGAGGAGAGTCGCAGCAAAGCCAAAGAAAGTAAGAGCTTGGAAGGCAATTGGAACAGATCTAGTCCAACTCTGTTATTTCATGAGGCCCAGAGAGAATGGCAATGCTGCATTTCCAGTAACTCAACAAGTGTGTACTTAGAGGACCAGCAAAGAGGGCACGACACAAATAAATTAATGGTAAAAGCAAGATAGATTAGACAACTTCAGCTTCAGTGATCTTATCCAGAACCTGATAGTAACAGAAAATTCAGAAATAGTCTATTTTAACTTTAACATTCACGCAAGTTTTGTGTTTAGATACTTTCAGTTACACTTAGCAGATTTCTAGACACACAATATTTTGACACTTTGGATGTCTAAAGGTCTTATTTGTTCTGTGGAGGGTGTTGTCACGTTCCCAAAGAATTAGGCTCAAGCTGCAGAACCCAGAGAGAGGGCAGGTAATTTATGAAAGGAGGTGACACTTCAGAGAAGTAATGTTTTTCAAGATTATACAGGATAAAAACAACCTAAGAATAAATATGTCTCAAACTAACAGACTCTGAATTCCTGGGCTAAGGTGTTCACTTGTCACTCACCACCTGAGAAGCCTTGAGCAAGTTATTTAACCTCTCTGATCTCTGTTTCAATATCTGCATACTACAAAAACAAATGTGCCTATGCATTCGTTGTAAAACGAAATAAATTAGAAATTTTAAAAAATCACCTACAAAATTATCTACATGGCATAAGCATATTAAACAATATGAAAACAAAGGAGCAAGAAGAAGGAAGAAAAGGGAAGTTAGAAGGAATTGGTGTTCATTGGAGAGCGCATACGGTAGGTTCCCGCCGCCACCCCTGCTCCCTCGCAAGGGACTAAAGGAAAACGAATTGCAGAAGTCAGGTGGAATACGTTTACTATAGTCAATGACGGATTTAATTATAAAGTCTTCATTATGTTTGTGCATAAGTACAATATAATATAACTACATTGTAATTATCCTATTGGGCAATGTCAAAGCCAATCCAAAGGCTGCCATTGCCTTTGATATTTAGAACAGTGTCGGATTTCACCCTTTTAAAAATGTTTTGGGGAAAAATGGTGATACTGAGGTCCACACTAAAATGTGATTTAGTCACCTGGATGGCTTTACCCCTTACTATGAGGCTTCATAGGTGAAGATGGATGGATAAATGGATGGATGGATGGAGGAATGGATGGACAGATGGGTGGGTGGGAGGAATGGATGGATAGATGGGTGGGTGGGTGGGGGGGTGGATGCATGGATGGATGGAAGGACAGAAAATGAATGTCTTCCAGTGCTCTGGCAGCTTTATTTGCTTTAGTGCTTTTAGTAGAAGGAGTTCACATTTTTTTAAAGTGCAAGATCTTTGTGCATCATGCCCTTTATCCTCACCACAAACTTGAGAAGCAGGTGTTATCATTTTTATTACACAAAGACCAAAAGTGAAACCTGAGGATGGTTAAACAGCTTGCCTAGAGTCACACAAGCTGCTGGCAAAGTTAAGATTCGCATACAGGTCTGTAAGACTCCAAAGTCTCAAATCTTCCACTAAAAAACACTTCCTCATAATTACCTAAAAATGAGTGAAGAGGCAGAACTTTGAAAGTTTAGTTAACATTTTTTTTGAGTTCTTGTTTTTGAGTTTGTGTTCTAGTTTTCCTGTTTGGCAAGAAAAGTAGGTATTTGGAGAAGAAAAGGAAAAACAGAAATAGGATGACCATATTTCCTGGTTGTCTGGGACAGTCCCCATTTGTACTCATCAGCCTGGCGAAATTATTAATAATGTCCATTTACAGTCTCAAAATATCCCAGTTTCCACCTGAAGTAGAAACCACCATTTATGAGCTAGCTAATTTATAATCCAACTAAGGGTTAGAGTCCAGGTAGCTATATGTGCATGTGTCTGTATTATACTTTATTTTTCAGTTGAGTCCTTCTCCTAAGTTACTGAATAGGTACAGCCCTAAGTTTTAACAGGCATCTCCTGCCAAAAAGGTGGCTTCCTAAGAATTTGTCAGTTCACACCTCCTCCCCAAGCTCACCACACCTGCTCACACTTTCTCATATAATAGTGACAAGGAAGAAATGAACGTGACTTAAAACAGCATCATGACAAGGATGGCAATGAGCTAGATTTTACATTTTAGCCTAGGATCCCTGTTTCCCTGTAGCTGGATTTCACTCTTAGCTATAGGCCAGGTTGATGAGGAGAATGGCTGAGCATATGGAGGATTTTTCTCATGTCTCCTGACCACTACCAACACTGCCAACCTGGCCTGCCTGGGTCTCCTCCTCTTCATGACCATCAGAGGTAATTTTGCACAAAGCACGCCTTACACTATTCCTAATTTTTCTGTTCAAAAGCCTTGTGTATTTTCTCATTGCTATAGTTAAAACTGTAACTTCTCAGCATGAGCTATACAATATTCATGATATAATAGGAGGATGAGCATAAGGAGAAAAGAATTACAGTCATGATTTGGATACTAAGTAATGGTGTGTGTTTGGCGAAGGTGTTTAATGCCTCAAGGTCTCAGTTTCCCCATGTCTAAATATGAGGTTGGAATAAATACATTCTAAAAACCTTTCCCATACTAAGAGATTATGCGGGACTTGCCCTATTTCTCCTTGGCTTCTCTAACTTGTTTACTCTCTGTTCCACAGAATACACTTTTTAAATTCCTACTATATGGTTTGCACAGGCTGTATTTCCCACTGGGAATGCCCTCTTCCCTCATTATTGCTTCTTTTATCATTGCTTTCAGCCCCACTGACCCAAAAAGCATTAATCACCTACAACCACAGTACTACTTTTATCTGATAAGGGGAGCCATAAATACCCATCTCCACTGACTAAAGCTCTTGCATATCCATGTTGGCCTCAACAGATGCTGAGTTCCTTCTGCCTCTAATTCAGACTGATGATAGCTAATCCAAGAGCTAATTCTATTCCGTTCATCTCTTACTAGCTATTTCTTGGCTGATCCTTTCCCAATAGTCTTCCAGTGAGTATGTCTCCAGAGCCCTAGACCTCCCATGAATGAATGCCACTCATAAATCTAACAACCTATTCTATGTTTCTTACTGAGTACCAAAAAGATATCTCAAACCGCATGCCTCTTCCAACAGCCCGAAACCTGCTTAAGACTTTTCCAAACATGTAAGTAACAGTGTTACCTATCCAATGGTGCGGACCCCCACATTCCTTTTTTCTTCACCCTTGGAATCTGTTTTAGTCTGTTCTCATGCTGCTAAGGAAGACTGGGTAGTTCACAAAGGAAACAGGTTTAATTGACTCACAGTTCCATATGGCTGGGGAGGCCTCACAGTAGTGGTGGAAGGTGAAGGGGAAGCAAGACATGTTTTACATGGCAGCAGGCTAAAGAGCCTGTGCAGAGGAACTCCCTTTTATAAAACCATCAAATCTTGTGAGACTTATTCACTATCACGAGAACAACACAGGAAAGACTCATCCCCATGACTCAATTACCTCCTACCTGGTCCCTCCCACCACACATGGGAATTACAGGAGCTACAATTCAAGATGAGATTTGGGTGGAGACACAGCCAAACCATATCAGAATCTAATCCAAAAGCAAATTCTTTTGGTAATACCTCAAATGTATCTTGCAAAGATGGTCACTTATCACCATCTCTATTGCTACCACCTGAAACCAGAACACCAAAATCTCTTGCCCAGACTGTTGGTTACCCTGTACCTATGTGTCTCACTACTGTCCAATGTCCACATAGCAGCAAGATGATCTTTTTAAATCATTATTAGGGTCTACAGTGGTTCTATCAGCCCCACAAGGCCTGTGCCTTGCTGTTTCTCCCACCTCATGCCTGGCCACTCTTTCACAAATCCCTGCTCTTCTTTCTGCTCCTAGGACACAGCAAGCACATTGATGCCTCATGGCCTTGCACCTGCAGTTTCTGCTGCTCAGATTGCTTCCCTACCCCAGTTATTTGCATCTTTAATTTGCCTCACATTCAAGTCTCCACTCAAATGTCACCTTCTTTAAGACCACCTTCCCCGATGGCCTAACCTGAAGTGGCCCCAATCCCTTCCTGTATCTCTTGATCACATTACCCTGACTTATTTCCTTCCTTCGTGAACTTATTAATATCTGAAGTTTTGGTTGTTGCTGTTTTTTATTTTCCTCTTTCCTCTAATATAAGTTATATGAAGACATGTACCTCATCTGTCATGTTCATCCTTATATTTCCAGTGTTTAACAGGCCACTTGTCACCTAACAGGCATTTAAATTATTTATAGAACGAATGAATGACCCGCAGTGGAATCTGCCTGAGCTATAACAAAATGTTCAGATCACTTACTGTCCACAGAGGCTTCCCTGACCATTGAGCCCAGAGTAGTTTCATCATACCTAAAATCCCCTATGCAGTGTCTCCTTGTGCCTCTTCTAAGGTATTCTTTTGGTTATTGAGCTATTGTCTCTTAACTGACCTTCTTTCACTCTGTGTTGGAATGCTAGGGCTGGAACTTTGCAACCCACATTTCTGATTTGCCAGGTATTTTTTGTTGCTTTCTGCCCATCGGAGCCCTAGAGGAGACTAGGAAATCAGGAGGTGGAAGGGACTCTCTGCTGATTAGCTTCCTGTCCTAGCAACTTGACTCCAGCAATGGTTCCTTACTCTTGCAGAAGCAACTGATTCCATTTTCATTGTCCCCTCTCCTCCAACATTCATACCCATCTGCACACTGCCAGGATTAGCTTCTTTGTGTCTTCCTCTCAGAGACCCGGGTCTCAGCTCCTTGCAAGTCCTACTCTGAATTCTGGAGCACCTATACTAGCTGGGCACCCTCCCTCTTCAGAGCTCTGTGTCCAACCCAGAAAGCCTCTGGCCCCAAGCTCCTATGCTTTAATAGCCCTTTCGTCTTCCTTGTGCTTCTCCAGCCTGAGAGGTTGGTATTTGCTTTCTGAAGTTAGTACCTCTGTCATCTCGATGACCACTTTTGCCTTTTCAGTCATTCAATACCTGTCTCCCTAACTGTTTATATTAAATTCTGAATTCTAAAAGAACTAGTGAGGGCCAGGCATGGTGGCTCATGCCTATAATCCCAGCACTTTGGGAAGCTGAGGTGGGCAGATCACTTGAGGTCAAGAGTTTGAGACCAGCCTGACCAACATGGTGAAACCCTGTCTCTACTAAAAATACAAAAAATAGCCAGGCGTGGTAGCAGGTGCCTGTAATCCCAGCTACTTGGAAGGCTGAGGCAGGAGAACCGTGTGAACCAGGGAGGCACTCCGTCTGAAAAAAAAAGAAAAAAAAGACTAGGTTTTATTTTCCTGAATGGTCCCCAGCTGATAGACGAATGTACAATTTATTGCCTTATACCATTTCCATTTTTTCTCAGGGCATCTTTTATTGGCTCAACTGGCTTGGAAGTTTGTTTAAAGTAGGAATTACCCCCTCATTTAGCCCTGTACCTACTAGCTGGGGTGCCTTACACATTGTAACTGATCAGTATGTGCGTGATGATGATTGACCATTTGTAGTTCTGCAAGGAAATTAGTTCATCTTCCTGTTTTCAGAGGTAGCATTTCAAAACATCTCTGGAGAGAAACTATCGTAATCTTCAAGCCCTCCAGGATAGGAAATTCTTCAAATGTTTAATTGTTAAATGTCTGCTTGTAAGCCCATGCCAGAATCTCTTTGCTGTCAAGAAGTGCTTTCCACATAGACCTGATGGTAGGGACTTGCACAGAGAGGAAATGCTTAGATCTAAGAAGAATGATTATTTTGACAATATATAATGGAACCTTAGCCCCAAATAAATTCTTGCTGTTTTCCAAATAACCGAATTATTGGACTGATCTCAAGTTTAATTCATTCTTTCTCTTCCCCACCCTGGTTTTGTGTACAGAAAGAAAACCTATTTGTTCGATTCACATGAAACTTTCTTATAAATATACTGGACCGAGGCTGGAGGAGCCAAGATGGCCGAATAGGAAGAGCTCCGGTCTACAGCTACTAGCGTGAGCGACGCAGAAGACGGGTGATTTCTGCATTTCCATCTGAGGTACCGGGTTCATCTCACTAGGGAGTGCCAGACAGTGGGCGCAGGCCAGTGTGTGTGCGCACCGTGCGCGAGCCGAAGCAGGGCGAGGCATTGCCTCACCTGGGAAGCGCAAGGGGTCAGGGAGTTCCCTTTCCGAGTCAAAGAAAGGGGTGACGGACGCACCTGGAAAATCGGGTCACTCCCACCCGAATATTGCGCTTTTCAGACCCGCTTAAGAAACGGCGCACCACGAGACTATATCCCACACCTGGCTCAGAGGGTCCTACGCCCACAGAATCTCGCTGATTGCTAGCACAGCAGTCTGAGATCAAACTGCAAGGCGGCAACGAGGCTGGGGGAGGGGCGCCCGCCATTGCCCAGGCTTGCTTAGGTAAACAAAGCAGCCAGGAAGCTCCAACTGGGTGGAGCCCACCACAGCTCAAGGAGGCCTGCCTGCTTCTGTAGGCTCCACCTCTGGGGGCAGGGCACAGACAAACAAAAAGACAGCAGTAACCTCTGCAGACTTAAGTGTCCCTGTCTGACAGCTTTGAAGAGAGCAGTGGTTCTCCCAGCACGCAGCTGGAGATCTGAGAACGGGCAGACTGCCTCCTCAAGTGGGTCCCTGACCCCTGACCCCCGAGCAGCCTAACTGGGAGGCACCCCCCAGCAGGGGCACACTGACACCTCACACGGCAGGGTATTCCAACAGACCTGCAGCTGAGGGTCCTGTCTGTTAGAAGGAAAACTAACAACCAGAAAGGACATCTACACCAAAAACCCATCTGTACATCACCATCATCAAAGACCAAAAGTAGATAAAACCACAAAGATGGGGAAAAAACAGAACAGAAAAACTGGAAACTCTAAAACGCAGAGCGCCTCTCCTCCTCCAAAGGAACGCAGTTCCTCACCAGCAACAGAACAAAGCTGGATGGAGAATGATTTTGACGAGCTGAGAGAAGAAGGCTTCAGACGATCAAATTACTCTGAGCTACGGGAGGACATTCAAACCAAAGGCAAAGAAGTTGAAAACTTTGAAAAAAATTTAGAAGAATGTATAACTAGAATAACCAATACAGAGAAGTGCTTAAAGGAGCTGATGGAGCTGAAAACCAAGGCTCGAGAACTACGTGAAGAATGCAGAAGCCTCAGGAGCCGATGCGATCAACTGGAAGAAAGGGTATCAGCAATGGAAGATGAAATGAATGAAATGAAGCGAGAAGGGAAGTTTAGAGAAAAAAGAATAAAAAGAAATGAGCAAAGCCTCCAAGAAATATGGGACTATGTGAAAAGACCAAATCTACGTCTGATTGGTGTACCTGAAAGTGATGTGGAGAATGGAACCAAGTTGGAAAACACTCTGCAGGATATTATCCAGGAGAACTTCCCCAATCTAGCAAGGCAGGCCAACGTTCAGATTCAGGAAATACAGAGAACGCCACAAAGATACTCCTCGAGAAGAGCAACTCCAAGACACATAATTGTCAGATTCACCAAAGTTGAAATGAAGGAAAAAATGTTAAGGGCAGCCAGAGAGAAAGGTCAGGTTACCCTCAAAGGAAAGCCCATCAGACTAACAGCGGATCTCTCGGCAGAAACCCTACAAGCCAGAAGAGAGTGGGGGCCAATATTCAACATTCTTAAAGAAAAGAATTTTCAACCCAGAATTTCATATCCAGCCAAACTAAGCTTCATAAGTGAAGGAGAAATAAAATACTTTATAGACAAGCAAATGCTGAGAGATTTGGTCACCACCAGGCCTGCCCTAAAAGACCTCCTGAAGGAAGCACTAAACATGGAAAGGAACAACCGGTACCAGCCGCTGCAAAATCATGCCAAAATGTAAAGACCATCGAGACTAGGAAGAAACTGCATCAACTAATGAGCAAAATCACCAGCTAACATCATAATGACAGGATCAAATTCACACATAACAATATTAACTTTAAATATAAATGGACTAAATTCTGCAATTAAAAGACACAGACTGGCAAGTTGGATAAAGAGTCAAGACCCATCAGTGTGCTGTATTCAGGAAACCCATCTCACGTGCAGAGACACACATAGGCTCAAAATAAAAGGATGGAGGAAGATCTACCAAGCCAATGGAAAACAAAAAAAGGCAGGGGTTGCAATCCTAGTCTCTGATAAAACAGACTTTAAACCAACAAAGATCAAAAGAGACAAAGAAGGCCATTACATAATGGTAAAGGGATCAATTCAACAAGAGGAGCTAACTATCCTAAATATTTATGCACCCAATACAGGAGCACCCAGATTCATAAAGCAAGTCCTCAGTGACCTACAAAGAGACTTAGACTCCCACACATTAATAATGGGAGACTTTAACACCCCACTGTCAACATTAGACAGATCAACGAGACAGAAAGTCAACAAGGATACCCAGGAATTGAACTCAGCTCTGCACCAAGCAGACCTAATAGACATCTACAGAACTCTCCACCCCAAATCAACAGAATATACATTTTTTTCAGCACCACACCACACCTATTCCAAAATTGACCACATACTTGGAAGTAAAGCTCTCCTCAGCAAATGTAAAAGAACAGAAATTATAACAAACTATCTCTCAGACCACAGTGCAATCAAACTAGAACTCAGGATTAAGAATCTCACTCAAAGCCGCTCAACTACATGGAAACTGAACAACCTGCTCCTGAATGACTACTGGGTACATAACAAAATGAAGGCAGAAATAAAGATGTTCTTTGAAACCAACGAGAACAAAGACACCACATACCAGAATCTCTGGGACGCATTCAAAGCAGTGTGTAGAGGGAAATTTATAGCACTAAATGCCCACAAGAGAAAGCAGGAAAGATCCAAAATTGACACCCTAACATCACAATTAAAAGAACTAGAAAAGCAAGAGCAAACACATTCAAAAGCTAGCAGAAGGCAAGAAATAACTAAAATCAGAGCAGAACTGAAGGAAATAGAGACACAAAAAACCCTTCAAAAAATCAATGAATCCAGGAGCTGGTTTTTTGAAAGGATCAACAAAATTGATAGACCGCTAGCAAGACTAATAAAGAAAAAAAGAGAGAAGAATCAAATAGACACAATAAAAAATGATAAAGGGGATATCACCACCGATCCCACAGAAATACAAACTACCATCAGAGAATACTACAAACACCTCTACGCAAATAAACTAGAAAATCTAGAAGAAATGGATACATTCCTCGACACATACACTCTCCCAAGACTAAACCAGGAAGAAGTTGAATCTCTGAATAGACCAATAACAGGCTCTGAAATTGTGGCAATAATCAATAGTTTACCAAACAAAAAGAGTCCAGGACCAGATGGATTCACAGCCGAATTCTACCAGAGGTACAAGGAGGAACTGCTACCATTCCTTCTGAAACTATTCCAATCAATAGAAAAAGAGGGAATCCTCCCTAACTCATTTTATGAGGCCAGCATCATTCTGATACCAAAGCCGGGCAGAGACACAACCAAAAAAGAGAATTTTAGACCAATATCCTTGATGAACATTGATGCAAAAATCCTCAATAAAATACTGGCAAACCGAATCCAGCAGCACATCAAAAAGCTTATCCACCATGATCAAGTGGGCTTCATCCCTGGGATGCAAGGCTGGTTCAATATACGCAAATCAATAAATGTAATCCAGCATATAAACAGAGCCAAAGACAAAAACCACATGATTATCTCAATAGATGCAGAAAAAGCCTTTGACAAAATTCAACAACCCTTCATGCTAAAAACTCTCAATAAATTAGGTATTGATGGGACGTATTTCAAAATAATAAGAGCTATCTATGACAAACCCACAGCCAGTATCATACTGAATGGGCAAAAACTGCAAGCATTCCCTTTGAAAACTGGCACAAGACAGGGATGCCCTCTCTCACCGCTCCTATTCAACATAGTGTTGGAAGTTCTGGCCAGGGCAATCAGGCAGGAGAAGGAAATAAAGGGTATTCAATTAGGAAAAGAGGAAGTCAAATTGTCCCTGTTTGCAGATGACATGATTGTTTATCTAGAAAACCCCATTGTCTCAGCCCAAAATCTCCTTAAGCTGATAAGCAACTTCAGCAAAGTCTCAGGATACAAAATCAATGTACAAAAATCACAAGCATTCTTATACACCAACAACAGACAAACAGAGAGCCAAATCATGGGTGAACTCCCATTCACAATTGCTTCAAAGAGAATAAAATACCTAGGAATCCAACTTACAAGGGATGTGAAGGACCTCTTCAAGGAGAACTACAAACCACTGCTCAAGGAAATAAAAGAGGACACAAACAAATGGAAGAACATTCCATGCTCATGGGTAGGAAGAATCAATATCGTGAAAATGGCCATACTGTCCAAGGTAATTTATAGATTCAATGCCATCCTCATCAAGCTACCAATGACTTTCTTCACAGAATTGGAAAAAACTACTTTAAAGTTCATATGGAACCAAAAAAGAGCACGCATTGCCAAGTCAATCCTAAGCCAAAAGAACAAAGCTGGAGGCATCACACTACCTGACTTCGAACTATACTACAAGGCTACAGTAACCAAAACAGCATGGTACTGGTACCAAAACAGAGATATAGATCAATGGAACAGAACAGAGCCCTCAGAAATAATGCCGCATATCTACAACTATCTGATCTTTGACAAACCTGAGAAAAACAAGCAATGGGGAAAGGATTCCCTATTTAATAAATGGTGCTGGGAAAACTGGCTAGCCATATGTAGAAAGCTGAAACTGGATCCCTTCCTTACACCTTATACAAAAATCAATTCAAGATGGATTAAAGATTTAAACGTTAGACCTAAAACCATAAAAACCCTAGAAGAAAACCTAGGCATTACCATTCAGGACATAGGCGTGGGCAAGGACTTCATGTACAAAACACCAAAAGCAATGGCAACAAAAGCCAAAATTGACAAATGGGATCTAATTAAACTAAAGAGCTTCTGCACAGCAAAAGAAACTACCATCAGAGTGAACAGGCAACCTACAACATGGGAGAAAATTTTCGCAACCTACTCATCTGACAAAGGGCTAATATCCAGAATCTACAATGAACTCAAACAAATTTACAAGAAAAAAACAAACAACCCCATCAAAAAGTGGGCGAAGGACATGAACAGACACTTCTCAAAAGAAGACATTTATGCAGCCAAAAAACACATGAAGAAATGCTCATCATCACTGGCCATCAGAGAAATGCAAATCAAAACCACTATGAGATATCATCTCACACCAGTTAGAATGGCAATCATTAAAAAGTCAGGAAACAACAGGTGCTGGAGAGGATGTGGAGAAATAGGAACACTTTTACACTGTTGGTGGGACTGTAAACTAGTTCAACCATTGTGGAAGTCAGTGTGGCGATTCCTCAGGGATCTAGAACTAGAAATACCATTTGACCCAGCCATCCCATTACTGGGTATATACCCAAAGGACTATAAATCATGCTGCTATAAAGACACATGCACACGTATGTTTATTGCGGCACTATTCACAATAGCAAAGACTTGGAACCAACCCAAATGTCCAACAATGATAGACTGGATTAAGAAAATGTGGCACATATACACCATGGAATACTATGCAGCCATAAAAAATGATGAGTTCATATCCTTTGTAGGGACATGGATGAAATTGGAAACCATCATTCTCAGTAAACTATCACAAGAACAAAAAACCAAACACCGCATATTCTCACTCATAGGTGGGAATTGAACAATGAGATCACATGGACACAGGAAGGGGAATATCACACTCTGGGGACTGTGGTGGGGTCGGGGGAGGGGGGAGGGATAGCATTGGGAGATATACCTAATGCTAGATGACACATTAGTGGGTGCAGCGCACCAGCATGGCACATGTATACATATGTAACTAACCTGCACAATGTGCACATGTACCCTAAAACTTAGAGTATAATAAAAAAAAAAAAAAAAAAAGGCAGTCTCATAGAAATGGAAAGTAGAAAAGTGGTTACGAGGCAGGAGAATGGCATGAGCCCAGGAGACGGAGCTTGCAGTGAGCCGAGATCGTGCCACTGCACACCAGCCTGGGCCACAGAGCGAGACTCTTGTCTCAAAAAAAAGAAAGAAAAGAAAAGAAAAGAAAAGTGGTTACCAGAGGCTAGCAGGAGAACGGAAGATGGGGAAAGGGGAGATGATAGTGAAAGGGTACACAGTTTCAGTTAGACTGGAGGAACACATTTTAGTGAACTATTGCACCGCATGGTGCCCTTGCACCACCCTGAGTAGAGCTTACAGACCCCTCTTCCTCCCTGAGAAGGAAGGTATTCTCAGTGAACACTGCCCCCGACCCTAAGTGAATTAGAAAGACTTTCTCTCTACCTAATGTCTGTCACAGCACTTACCACGCACTTACCATAATTATCTATCTACAAACCTAGACTGTAAGGCTTGAGCAGCAAGTACTTTTGTATCCCAGTACCTAGATCAGTGTCAAGCTCGTAGGAGGTTCTCAGGCCCCATGGTGTAGTGGTTAAAAGTATAAACTTTATAATAATCCACCCAAATCTCAAACCCCTTTGCTAAATATAAGTTCTCATTTAGAGTAAGCAAAACATTTGAGGCTTCATTTCCTTAGTGGTGAGAATGAGATAAATATAGTAATATCTACTTCATAGTTGCCTTAAGAATATGAAATAAGAATAATGAATGAATGAGAGAAAGAATGAGTGAGCGAACCCATCCACCAACCAACTTCTCAAAGAACCCCACTGTCCCCAAAACTCTCCTTGTGTTCTGGAATTCTGTTAGAGCTTTTGAAAAAAGAAAGCACAGCTTAGATTTGGCTAAGACCAACCTGAATTCAATCAATTCTAAAACAAAATCAAGAAAGAAAAAAAGAAAGCCTGCATCAACCAGTCACTACTTTCTATTTTTCTAGGAGGTGGGAATATGGACAGGACTGATCTCTGTAGCTCCTTTTTTGAACTTGGGACGATCTCAGATCTCACCTGTGGCGATTTCACAGCATAGCAGTAGAGGGTTAAAACTTATATGAACTTCGTTTGAACTTTGTATGGGCTCCTCTCTTACTTTAAAAAGTTTTACATTAAACTTTGTAATGTAAGGAGAACATGCAATTTAAATTAAAGAATTGGAGGAGATTTGGGTATTTAAAAAAAAAAAATATACTGGACTGAAATTAGCTCTTCCCACAAAAATTAAAGGTGTATTAAAGTTTGTTTTCAAAGATATAATATTTTGAAACTGTGTGGGCTTTCATTTCTGCCTTCCTTAGCCATTAACGACTAGAGTCCTTCAGGCCTGGTGCTCATGCTTAAGGCTCTATGTCTACACTGACGGGGTAAAAAGTGCCTTAGAAGCACCAGCAGGTGGAAGTGGGATTTACTACGCTGCCATCTATCTGGTATCCAAAGTGTCAGGAGTGCCCTCTGCACTGCGTGCCCAATGCCACAGCTCTTTCCTGATGTGCAGGTGATCCAGCCTCAATAACTGGGTTGTTGTCTTCTAGTTCCTGATTCTGTTTTTTGTTGTTTTTTTTTTGAGATGGAGTCTTGCTCTGTCACCCAGGCTAGACAGCAGCGGCGCAATCTCAGCTCACTTCAACCTGTGCCTCCCGGGTTCAAGCGATTCTCCTGCCTCAGCCTCCTAAGGAGCTGAGATTACAGGCGCCCGCCACTGCGCCTGGCTAATTTTTGCATTTTTACTAGAGACGGGGTTTCACCAACTTGGCCAGGCTGGTCTCGAACTCCTGACTTCATGATCAGCCTCCCAAAGTGCTGGGATTACAGGTGTGAGCCACCATGCCTGGCTTAGTTCCTGCTTTTTATGCTTGATCTAGTGGAGTCCCATCCTGAAATGCAGCCTGCTTGAACCCTTACTAGTTATTATAAACCCTATACTTTGAGGCTGGATAGCACTCCGTTTAGCCCCTGGCCACTCCTCTCTGCCACCACCCCTAGATTGGCCTCTACTTTCCCACACACACTCCTGTCTCCTTGGACACTGCAGTTTTCTTTGTCACTTTCAATACTGGTATGTGAGCTATCAGCTACTTCCCTTCTATCTGGTGGGTTCCTGGGACTCTTGTTCTCTCTGGTTCTGACCTCCTTGCCTTTCTCTTCTGCTGAGGTATCCATACATCCATTTGCCAAGCCCATGTCAGGTGCAATACTATGGATCATCACATGAATTAGAAGCCAAACAGTAAGGAACTCCCCCCAACCACCGTTTCTAACATCTCATGGGGAATGTTGGGTTCTTCTAGGGGCCAAGATCATCTGCCCTGTCTGGGGAAATGCACTGGCCCTTTCTCTAAGGAAATTAGGTTTCCCACTCTTGTTTAGTGATGATTAGCTATTTCAACCTCCCAGATCTTACTTTCAACCACACAGTTGCTCCATGCTGACTTTAACATAACAGCACTGATTTCCATATATAATGTATGAAATTGGTCTTCTTACTTTGACATTACCCCTTAGTAACTGAAAACACAACAAAAAAATCTCCTTCTTCAGGTTATATCATGTTGTCATAAGCCAATCATTTGTAGGTGTTATCCAGTAACACTAATATGTTAACCTATTATAATATTTATAACCAATATAATAGTTGTTATTATGTGTCAACACTATTTTTTTGTGCTACTCAGATATTAACTCACATAAGTCTCACAGAAATCCCATAAAATAGGTTTTATTCTTTTCTCTATTTTATGCATAAGAAACTGAGAAACAAAGCTCCATCCAGCAACTTTCACCAAGTTTGGTAGGAAAGCTCATTACAGGACCCATGCGGTTGAAGTCTAGAGCTCAAACTCAATCATTATTCTCTGCTAATTTTTGCAGTGAGAGCAATTTCTCTCCATTTCTTATTCTATCTTGATTCCCAATAGGTCTCACAGAACAGAGGGGCGAACCTCTTCCTAGTAGCGTTCTCACATGGTTAAGGGCTCTGGAATCTTATAGTCCTGGACTCTAGTCTCAACTTCCCATATGTAAGCTGCATGACCCAGATAAATTACTAACCTGAGTCTTCATTTTCTCAACTGCTGCTTTTTCTTTTTCCTGACACCACTTCGGACACCAAATAGTTGTCCAACAATTCAATTTAATTCTGACATAAACTATTTGAATTTAGTGCAGACCTCACAAGGCAAGGGCTCAGAATCACAACGCTGCCCCCAGCTGCAAATCCCAGGAGCTACCTGTACCTCTGACCAACAGGCTATAAATTGGAGGTTCCCTCTACCCTCACCTCCATTTCAACAATTCACCAGAGCTACTCCTCAGAAAACACTTTACTAATGTTTATTGGTTTATTATAAAGGATATAACCCCAGGAGAGTCAAATGGAAGAGATGCATAGGGTAAGGTACGGGGTGCAGGAGACAGTTTTTATGCCCTCTCCAGGAATACAACCTCCCCAGCAGCAAAGGTCAGGGTTAGGACTGAAAGTTCCAACCCTCTAATTAGCAATTAGATTTTATCACTCAGGAGATTCCAAGGATTTTAGGAGTGCAGAGCCAGGAACCAAGAACAAAGACCAAATATGATGTATTTTTATTATACCATAACAACAAAAGAGGCAAAAGACTATTTATCTCATGGACTTAAATTAGACAGACTGTGAAATAAGATTGATGAAGTGGTACATTGAGAAACCTAAAACAAATGGGCTTTTTTCAAGTAGCCCCGTGGGCTGCTCTACTTCCTCACTGCCATTTTCATTTCTGCATTGCCCCATTGTAAGTCACATCAAGCATTGCCCCATTGTAAGTCACAACGGGACATGCATCAGCAAGTTATTTGAGAATTCCTGGTACATTTAACATCAAGTGATCCAATGCACTATTGTTCCGGGTCATGGGTGATCAAATGCACTATTGTTCCGGGTCATGGGTGATGTCTCCCAAGCATGAAAGGCAACAAAATCAATTATGAGGTTTTACTGAGCACCTATTGCATGCAGCCTACTGTATCAGTCATTGGAGATACCAAGATGTTCAAAATCAAAGTTGCCTTGTTGAGTCCTCTTTCTCCATCCCCCGGTTCGTTGATCTCCAGTTTGTCCTAACATTCCGTTTAGAACTTTCCCCCAGTGTCCACACAATTACTGGTGTCTGTAATATCATCTGCACCCCATCATTTGTCTGTTAAAATGCCCACCACTATTTATAAGTGCCTATCTCAATGCCATTTCCTTCAGGGTGTCCATTTCTCCAGGACAATCCTCTTAGCAGAATTACTTTTTGCTTTCTGCATGATCATGCAGCACCTTGATCGCTTCTGGCTTTAATTATCGAGGGTTTTGTGTGCAAGCTTTATTGGGCTTTCAGATTGAAAGTTCTTGGAAGGCAAATGTATCATCCCACCCATCTTCTAAATAACCCAGTGTTCTGTACAGAATGGACTGGGAATGGATGTTCATTGAATTAAACAGATTCAAATCTAATCAACCATCACCAGCAGAGATCAACTATAGTTATGAACTCCTTCTTCCGGCTTAAGCCTACCCTATTTGAGAGCTAGTGTTGACTCGGGCATTTTAGAAGAGTTTAATTCCACAGATGATTAATCTCGTTTTTTTATGTGTTGATTTTTCCTAGTTTTCCTCGCAGAGGGTAATTCACTTCTAAGTTTCAGGAGCACTTTATTGTAGCCTCTCATTTATGGACTATAATAATAATACCCATCATATATTGGATGCTTATTATGCATGAGTCACTGTGTTAAGTGCTTTATGTAAGTTCATCGATTTAATTTCCACAATAGCCCTGTGAGATGTGGAGTTTTGTGTTTATTTTTAATATTGTTTGACCTCATTTTACAGATAAGAGAACTAAGATTCAGAGAGATAAATGAAATTTCCATATGCCCAGGGGCAAACTTAACCCTTAACAATTTTTCTCTCTGTCATTATTCTCTTGAGCATATTGGGTTGGGTAGCACCTGCCTTAAAGACCAGTCATGCAGGAAGGCCAGGTTCCATAACCCTATTCCCACCAAAAGTTCTACCCATTCCCAGTAATCTCTCCTTCCCCATTGTCCCAGTTCAGGTAGGTGTTAACACACTTCCAGATACAGCCTGCTGAAGCTATAACGAGAATATGTACATAAAGAGAGACATTTTTTTTTTGTGTTGCAGCTTAAATTCCCAATGAACGATACAGACCATGCATCCAAAAGAATTATGGAGAATGCTAAGACGATGAAAGCTTGAAGCATTCAATGCCATTGTCATGTAGGAAATGGAATCCAAGCCTTGAGGAAAACACAACCCAGGCAGATTGAGAACAGTTAGAAGAGTCCCTCAGATGGGAAATATCCTGAGCCAAGTTTCAGAGACAGCAATGCACCGATTGCCCTTAGGGGAACAAGAGCAGTGTTTTTACAGAGAAATAAGAGGAAAATGTTATTTGAAGAGTGGGCCAAGATTATGAAAGTGCACAGAATGGCAAGATAAAAAAATCTGGTGTGCAGTGTCTGTATTCAGAAGTTTATTTTCCACCAATAGGATTTTCACATGTAAGGAGCCCATAGGTTAAAATATGCTTGTTTGACTACCAGGAATTAAGGAACTTCAGCTATGATTTGTAGTTCCTCTAAAGTCAACTAGAGGCCATTCCTACTAGGCTAAAAGGAAGAGTTCTTCATCCTACAAGTTTTCTGAGCTGTACAAATTAAAGGTCTATTATTTTATTTAAAAATACACATTAGTAGATATTCAATTTTCTAAGCCTGAGGCTGAATTCACCAGCATATGGCTACTGCTTGAACTCACTGTCATTACCATGCACATGCCAACCGATCATTTATTATTGTGTCAGCCATAATACATTAGTAGTAAATACCTGTAGGATCAGCCAAGTTATCTTTAAATTACACTGCAAGCTACATGAAAATGAAGACCATATCTCAAATTGCGGTACTTAGACTCAGACCCTATTGCCAAAGTTGCCATTCTAACATGCAAGAAATTAAACATGTCCCTCTTCAATAAATCCTCCAGAGAAAGAGAAAGACATATTTGTTATGAGGAATTGGCTCATGCAATTATGGAGCCTGAGAAGTCCCATGATCTGCCATCTGCCATCTGCAAGCTATAGACTGAGGGAAGCTGGTGACGTAATTCTATCTGGGTTTAAAGGTCCAAACCAGGAGAGCCAATGGTGTAAACTCCAGTCTGAAGGCAAGAGAAGTTGAGAAGATGTCCTTACTCAAGCAGGCAGGCCAGAAAAAAGGGTCTCTTTTCTCTACCTTTTGTTCTACTGAAGCCCTGAAAAGAGTGGAGGATGTCTACCTGTCCTGGAGAGGGCAATCTACTTTATTGAATCCACTGATTCAAAGGTCAGTCTCATGCAGAAACATCGTCACAGACACGTCCAGAAACAATGTTCAATCTAGGCACCCCATGGCCTGCTCAAGGTGACACAAACAATTAGCCATCACATACTGCTTTCCATATCTGGCTGCAATTGACTTTGAACCCAAAAGCCCAGCTATATTCACTCTTTGCAATTTCCCCAACTCTAGAGATTTGCATATGCCATCTCTTCAGCCTGGAAATACCTTTTCCTAAAAATGTAACATGTTTCAAAAAGATTTTGTAATTTATTCAACATTTATTTTATTTCTTGTAATTAGTTACAAGTTGATTAAGCATTTATTTATTTTATGCCTATTACTGAGTTTGCATAAGACTCACAAGAGTTTGCTAAGGAAGATATTATTAGCACTCTCTTTTCATAGATGAGAAATCGAGGCTCAAAGATCTGAAGATATCTTCCTAAGGTCACAGTCCACAAAGTGCCAGAGCCAGGATTTGAACCCAGAAACATGTGTGTTCTAAACTTTTAAACCACATCACTTGTTGTGCAAGAATGGGAGGCCCCTTGGAGGGGCAAAATATAATCTTACTGCAGAACTCAGATTTCACCACTGCCTGAGGACTTGCAATAATGAACAACACGTCTGGGGAAATTAATCTACAAAATCTCTCCCCCTAGGGAATAAGCGGTTGCATTTTCTCACCTGAAAATTCTTTCCTCTGAGGTGCCAGTAGCAAATGCCTTTTATTTGGTGGATTCAGCTGTAAGCATGGCTCTCAGTGCCCAACAGGTCTAGCTGAATATTTGGCACGTTACCTGAGATGAAGCAAGCTCATAGATTTCCTTTCCTCCCTCCTGTCTCTTGGGAACAGCTCTATTCACACAGTAGTATGTCTCATCTCTTCCAGCCTCAGTGTTTTAAATGGGAATGTCAATATGACTGCATAAAGGCTCACAGGTCACCAGGGAATTGGCAATCTCATCTGCAATGAGCCCTTTACACTAAGGCTGAATAGCCAGGGTATGATGTCCCAGAAGAAAAAGAAATGAAACCTAGAGTAAAATCATTGTTTAAAGCAGCATGTCCCAAGTGTGTTCCTCAGACCAATCTTGTGACATGCTCTGTGAAAAAAAGTTTCAATTGATGCATCATAAATTTTATGTTTTATAAATATTGCTTACTAAATTCCTATCTTAAAGATTCACACTTTACACTAGAATACTAAAGGCTCTGAGAAGTCCTGTAATATGGACATTAATCCAAATTTCTGAATCATTTGGGTGTAGAACATCTCTTTCCTTTCTTTGATTTTCATCATATCTATTAACAACTCACAGAATTAACATTCTGTGAATCACAGTTTCGGGAATTGCCCAAACTGATTTAAAGCAGCTATTGAATTGCTATTTTTAGACTATCTGGTTATATCTAGAATCATACCACTGGGAAGAAGCAAAAGTCCAACTTGTAAGTCCTTCGTATTCATAAAATGTTTATAAGAACAGCTGGCTCTTTCTTTTCAAATGCTTTCTTAAACTGCCTGCAATCCAAGCAGCCACCAGCACTGACAGTCCTGGAACAGACAGCACTAAGAATATGTCCCAAGCACAGCCCTAGATACCATCTTTCTTCCTATAAGAAAATTTATTCATTGATGCCTCTTGCCTATGTTGCTTCTTTTCAGCAGTTGAGTTCAAGTTGTTTGAATAGAACTATTAGAATATTCACCTAACTGGTCTGTCTGCCCTCAGTGTCAGCTTGCTCTAGTCCAAACAGAATATGCACTGAAGACCAGTTTGTTTTTCTAAAAGAATATGATGATCAAAGATGTAAACAAAAATCACGTTCTCTTGCCATTCTACCACTTTCTGTATAGTGGCTTGGTAACCACATTGTCTCCTCATGGTTACAATGTGGCTGCTATAGCTCCAGGCATCAGTAATATTGAAAGAGAAAGTTGTTTTCTCATTATTAGCATATGAATTGTGTTCCCTTGAAATTTATATTTTAAATTCTTAACCAAGAGTAGCTCAAAATATGACCTTATTTGAACATAGGGTCGTTAAAAAAGTAATCAAGTTAAAATGAAGTCATTAGAATGGACCCTAATACAATATTACTGGTGTCATCATAAAAAAGGAGATTGTTGGACACAGAAACAGGCATATAGAGAAAACACCATGTGAACATTAAGATTGCCATCGAAAAGCTAAGAGAAACTTGGAAGAGCTCCTTCCTTTACAGCCCTCAGAAGTAGCCAACCCTACCGACACATTGATTATGGACCTCTGGTCCCCATAACTGTAATAAATTTTTGTTGCTTAAGCCACCCAGTTTGTGGTACTTTATTACAACAGGCCTAGAAAACTAATATACTTCCTCTTCTTATTAGTTTGGAAAATCCAACCGAGAAATACCCTAGAAGCTTTCTTCATGCTTAAGTCAATTAGTGAAAAGGAAAACGCAATGACTGGCTTAAATCATTACCCAACCCTGGAAGTGGAAAAAAAAAGTCCCTTTCCCTTAGCATATGGGAAGGTGAATTCTGAAAAAAAAAAAAAAAAAAAAGGAAGAAAACACAAAATAGACCTTGGCCAACATGATACAGGACAGAGAAATGACTTTCGAAGCAATTACATCTATCAGGTATTAGGCACCATGCAAGACACAGGACTTCAAAGACACATGAGGAAAGAATTCCTGTTCTGAGTCCTCAGGAAATGATATTGAAAAAGCAGCACCTGAGGAAGCAGAAGAAAAACTAGGAGTGAAATGCGGCATGGAAGCCAATGAAGAGAGTTCCTAGAAGGGAAGCTATTCAGTGCCACAAAGCAGACAGGTGGGATGAGTACTGAGAAGAAAATACTAGATTTGGCATTTAAGGAGTCAATGTGATTTCACTAAGAATAATTTCAGCTAGGTGGGGGTGTCTTATACCTGTAATTCAGCACTCTGGGGGGCATGAGGATTGCTTGAACCTACCTCAAAAATCAGCCTTTGAGCAACATAGTGAGAGCCCCCAATCTCTACAAAAAAAAAATAAAAATAAAAATAGCGGCCGGGCACGGTGGCTCATGCCTGTAATCCCAGCACTTTGGGAGGCTGAGGTGGGCGGATCCTGAGGTCAGGAGATCGAGACCATCCTGGCTAATATGGTGAAACTCCATCTCTACTAAAAATACAAAAAATTAGCCGGGCGTGGTGGCAGGTGCCTGTGGTCCCAGCTACTCGGGAGGCTGAGGCAGGAGAATGGCGTGAACCCAGGAGGCGGAGCTTGCAGTGAGCCGAGATCGCGCCACTGCACTCCAGCCTGGGTGACAGAGTGAGACTCCGTCTCAAATAAATAAAATAGCCTGGTGCGGTGGCACACACCTGTAATCCCAGCTACTCAGAAGGGAGGCTGAAGGGGCAGGATCGCTTAAGCCCAGGAGTTAGAGGCTACAGTAAACCATGATTGCTCCACTTGCGCTCCAGCCTGGGCAACAGCAAAGCATATATTTCATGTGACAAGATTTATGGAGTAAAGAAAATAATTCAGTGGAAGAGAATTGTGGAAAAGATATTTCAAGTCCCATGCCTAAAAAACAAGTATTTGCTGTTAATTTTCACCATTCAGGGTAAGCACTTCTTTGCCATTCATTTGTTTTCTTCTTTATGAAGGGAGTTAAGTTAGTGCCATAGCCTTGGCCTCTTTCCACATCTTTCCTTATTCCACTTCGGTGGGCTAGAGTGCATTATCTGAACAGCCATGCTTTCTTTATCAGCTCTTCCTTTACCTCTTGGGAACAAGACAGCACATGCAAATCAAGTTTCCCAGTTCCATGTAAGTCTGTCTTACATAGAGGGCCTGCTCTGGCTTAGAATTGCACATGACTCAGTGGGTACATCTTTCTGCTGATGTTAACTTCATAGGTTAGCATTATTGATAATGAAGTGATCATTGGCCTCCATCTATCTTATGCTTTGTCTTATTTCTTAGTGGTTTCAAATATAAAGTAGGGACAAGAGGTCCTATTTAATGGTCTCTTTCATCCCCATGGCCATATACATAGCTACAGAGATTGGATGTGCCTCTGGAAAGCTTCTTCTGCAAAGAATAGCTCAAAAATCAACCCAGGTAGCAGAGTAACATAGCTATCATTGCTTTCCCCATACCATAAAATAGCAAAAGTGTTCAAGAGATTCCATAGTTTCTGAAAAACACTTGATTGGACAATTTTACTACCGCTCTACCTCCCCTTGTTATTAAGCATAAATTACAGATTTACAGTGCAGATAGTTACTACTATGCCTCTAATTAATGGCAGTTAAATCAGTAATTCCCATAAAGTTTAATAAAGTCAATTTATTGATTCATAGGTAATACCACTTCTACTTATTTTAATTTTTACCCAATATTTCAAATCTGAGTAGAGGTTGTCATAAACAGAGTAATAAGCAATAAATATGGTTGGCTAGATGGACAAGCAGTAAATATGGTTGGCTAGATGGACTGGTGACAGGATGGAAATGAGAAATACATGAATGGTTTAAGATTTCCTGAAGAAAAGCAGTTGGACTTGAGTGTCTTCAGCTTCTTACTCATGAAATCATGAGTGCATGTTCTTGCCAAGAACCCATCTCACTCAAGTCGAATTCTGCTGTTTAGGTACTTACAGAATTCATACATGTTTCTGCATGAGCCTTTCCAAACTTCCAATTTCACCTCCAGCTTTCCCATTCTGATTTCAGGCATTTACATTACTGGAGCAACTGGAGGCTACACAGATTTCTAAGACAAATGATCTTTCTAGGAAAATGTAACCAAGATTAAATCAAGACTGCTCATTATAAGCCCAACACATTAAGCACATCAATGCCCCCATAAGTGCCTCTGCATCAATCAGGATTTATCACAGAAGCGGAATCACTGTGAGTGATATGGAGTAAGGAGGTATTACGAGGATTATACTTTAATCTATACAGAAGCTGGTGGAAGAGGCCATGTATCTGGAACTGATTCTAAGTAGGTATAGATCAGCCAAACCAGCAGTTGGGAAGAAAAGATGAGTGTGGACAGCAGCAAAGACAAACTATAATTCACAAAGATGAACTAAAACCTGCAAAGAAAATAGAAACCTCTGAGGAAAACCGGAACACACATCTTTCAGCACTTGTAACCTGGATTCTGTGGATGACATGCAGGATAAGCTGGTATCCTTTGCCTTGGGATTGCAGGCACATTGGTTGAGGACTTAGAAAAACTGAAAGAGGAGTCAGTGAGAACTGGAGTCACTGGAGCTCCAGGTGCTGCTCCATGCCTGCAAGGTGAGTCATCAGGTCAGCAACAGCATGCATGAGCTGCCCCAGTGCCAAATGCCATCCATCAACCTTCTGAGAATAAAAAATACACTGCCTCGCATTTACCTCCAAATCTCTCGGGTGGCAAATATTAATGGGACTGTTAAGGGAAGAGGATTACGGAAAACAGATTCTGTCTATTAATATTGCTACATAACAAATGCCCACAAAATCTAGCTGCATAACTATATCTCACAGTTTTTATGGGCCAAGGATCCAGGAAGTGCTTGGCTCTATGTCTGTGGTTTGAGATCTCTCCTGCACTTACTGTAAAACAGGGTCTGGCTTTGGAAGAGCAGGAAGGTGGAGCAGGTGGGGACTGCAGTTGCAGGACCTCTCTGTGTGGCCTCTCCATGTAGGCTAGTTTTGGTTTCTCCAGGGCAGCCGGGCTGCTAACATGGCTGCAGGCTTCAAGAGCAAGTATTCAGTGAGGACAGCAGAAATAGCATGACCTTTTACAATCTAGCCTCAGAAGTCATATGGCATCACTTCCAGGATGTTGCATTGTTTCAAACAGTCATAAAAGTGCACCCAGGTTCAATGGAGGAGGAATTAGAGTCTACCTCTTGATGGAGGAATCGTAAGGGTCTGGAAGAGCACATGGAATGAAAGATCCTGTTGGCATACTTCTTTCTTTCAGTATGTCTAGCCAGAAGATCTATGCAGAAATCAGCATCTGAATTTTTTCACTTTATTTATTTTCTGGTAACTCCTAAGTCAAACAATAACAATAAATACCAGATAAATGTAAATTCTGTTTGTAGTTCTTGACATAATTGGGATGTATTCCTAAGTATGATTATGATAATACCTGCTATATATTCCTAACATTGAGACAACAATATCTAGGGGATGAGACAGAAAGAAAAATGAAGCCCACATTAAAATTACTACATAAAATTTTAAAGTAGTTATTGTTTTAACCTCTCTGGGCTTCAGTTTTGTCAACCGTGAAATGAAGACACCCTACATAAATGACTTACTTCATCTTCCATCAGTTTCTTGAATCTACAATAAAGAAGACCATATTTAAACACCCTCTACAAGATGAAGACCTTTTTTTTAACAAAGTGAACAAGAAAACCAGTATTTAGGAATGATGTATTTGATTGCTTTTTCCTAGATTTGAAATTTACATGTGAGATGTTAAGAGCAATATTAAGAAATATAACTCTGAATCTCCTTCCAATGCTTCTGATTTTCAGACATGTACAGTGCCTTTTATCTGCAGAAAAGTACAACATGATTCAAAGATAAACCAATTTTGAGAAACAGAGATGGATTAATAAAATATTTACTGTTCAAGAAAGAAAAGAAAGCTTCTATAATTCTCCTACATTTCTCTTCATTATAACCCTACAGAATGTTTGCTCATGTGAGTCACAAATGAATCTGGGGAAGAATCTAGCAGAGGGTTTTGATTAAATGGTATGCTGAATAAACAATGCTGAGACATTTTAATGAGGTCACATAAAAAGGCTGTGTGGAAAAGAAATATTTTAAAAATCACTTTGAGGCTCTATCCTTAAATCATTTCCTGGAGAACTGGGCTCTATTTCTTCTCATTGTACCATTAACCAAAGACTTTAAATCCTCTCACTGATTTTGCTACCATGAATGATCCATGGCTCCTTAGCACATAGATTTCCATTTCTGTGTTTCTGAAAATTATTGAGGCTCATTCTATGAGCCTGATTTCAATAATGAAATCAGGTAAATAAATGCCCTGTTTAAAGCTAATGGCATTTAGTTACTTCTTCACATAAGTCAAAAGCAAAGTTAAATAATAGGCCTATAGCTCTTTACGAAACAATGCCAAAATATTGTTGCTCGCCTATAATGCTTGCTGATGGCCAGAGAGCCAGAGGTTATACAAAAGTCAATCTGAAGGCTGGGCATGGTAGGTCACTCCTGTAATCCCAGCACTTTGGAAGGCCGAGGCGGGCTGACCACTTGAGGCCAGGAGTATGAGACCAGCCTAGCCAACATGGCAACTCCCTGTCTCTAGTAAAATTACAAAAATTAACTGTTGTGGTGGCACATGTCTGTAATCCCAGCTACTTGGGAGGCTGAGGCACAAGAATCACTTGAACCCGGGAGGCAAATATGGTTGCAGTGACCCAAGATCACACCACTGCACTCCAGCCTGGGTGACAGAGTGAGACTCTGTCCAAAAAAAAAAAAAAGAAAGAAAGAAAGAGAAAAGAGGGGAGGGGAGGGAAGTCAGTCTGAGATTTTTGAGACCAAGAAACAAAGACTTGGGAAGTTAAATATATGGACCAAACTCATATAACCAATTGGCAACTGAATCTGACCTTAATATGATTGGCTTGGAAATGGGATAGGGCTGACAAGAAGATGGATGTTAGTCCCTATGAGGCATGGAAAGAAGGGGAAAAGGAATCAAACATGACCAGAACTGGTCTGTATGGTCAAAAAGTAGTCAAATGTTGGCATTGTGGATTTAAGAGGTAGGACAGTTAGAGGTGATATAAAGGTTCAGGTCGACCCATGCAAATTGGTGACATAAGTGGAATAAAGTCAAGGAACTGAGAAAGGCAAGGGTGTGAATTGAGTCATTGACACACATACTAAAATCCTGGATGACATCCCACAGTGGAGAGAAATGTTGTGGGTGAGTTTTACAGGTATTTAGTGATTTGGGGACCAAAATAGAGAGTTATTAGACAACTGGGCCAATGTGAGGACCAGCATAGAATAGCCAGAAACAACGGGCCTCAGAAGCCCAACGCTTTTCCAGGGGTTGGAGACATAATGGTTTGTAACAGGCATGTTAAGGCTAGAAGTCAACCACTTTCTTCCCCAGAGATCTCCTGGTTTGGGAAAAATTAGCTGCTATGCTTATGTGGGCCACAGAGAAACAGGATTCAGTGGAGACAACAGGGTAGAGTGAATGTGTTTGGAAGAGAAGAGGATGCAAAGGAGTCTGTTTACCATAGAAGATAAATATTCAAAAGGCAAAAGAGAAAGGTTTGAGAGGGAGGGTTGCAGTAGAAACTTGGGTCTCAGGAACAGAAACAGGAAGCTGTGTGGGATGTCACTACCTTTCAGGCAGAAACACAAAAAGATGAAAATACATGGGCACCATCCACAAAAAGAATACAGTCTATATGAGAAAATTGTCCTAGCAAACAGAATTATCATTAAACATGGATTACATCCATTATATACACACATATGTGCCCACATAGCAGTAACATACATATATACCTTTTAAATCTGTCTGCTACTCACCCAGAGATAAATCTTGTCTTCTCATCTAGATTGTAAGCTACTAAAAAAAAGGCTTATGTTGTGTATCAGTGTTATTAGCATAAATCGAAGTCGAATTTAGGTAGGTCAAACCAAATTAAGATCATCTGAGAATGTTCAACCCCTTCTTTTTCTGTTTTCATTTGTTACCATTAAAAATTAATATCTTTTCTTATCTGAGACGTTTACAAATCTGTCAGTGTAACCCAGTATGTTGATGAATAAAGCTGAGGACGGCCTGGACATCATTTAGAAATGATCCATGTATCTTCTTATTTAACTCACTGAATCCTCATTCCTGATTTCAGACTGGGGTCCGCTCTTGCAGCTACTATTTCTACACTACAGCTCCTGTCAGCCTGTGAGAGTCCAAAGGTTGTTGCTTGCCAACTCCATCTCCAATTCACCATGCTAAAGCTCTACAACCTGAAAATGCCACAGAGTGAAACTTTTGGATCAGTTCAGGAAAGGCTTGTCTTGTATTTCCAGTAGAGCTCAGAAACCAGAGAAATAGGACTGTCACTAGTGATTCTTGGGGAAGCGTCCTTACAAGTAGTAAATCTAGAATTACTTTGACTAAGGTCCAAATGTGTTACTAATTGTGACGGGAATTCCAATATCACAGAAGTGACTTCATGATTGTCATTGGTTATTAGTTAACATTTTGAAAGGCAATTGTGAACATGTCTTTTAGAAAAGTTGAATGTAGTCAAGCAAGTGGATTTATTTACAATGGGTCATTGTTCTACCTTTGTTCCTTAAGACTATTATGTTAGACTAAACAGTGTTTCCCTTGAAATCTGTTGGTCTGTTCCCAGCTTCTGGCTGAATGATGCTTCTAAGCCTTTGTATTAGTCCATTTTCATGCTGCTGATAAAGACATACCTGAGACTGGGAAATTTACAAAAGAAAGAGGTTTATTGGACTTATAGTTCCACATGGCTGAGGAGGCCTCATAATTATGGCATAAGGCAAGGAGAAGCAAGTCATATCTTATGTGGATGGCAGCAGGCAAAGAGAGAGCTTGAGCAGGGAAACTCCCCCTTATAAAACTATCAGATCTTGTGAGACTCATTCATTATCACACAACAGTGCATGAAGGATCCACTTCCATAATTCAATCACTTCCCATAGAGTTTCTCCCACATGTGGGAATTGTGGGAGTTAAAACTCAAGATGAGATTTGGGTGGGGACACAGCCAAACCATATCATTCTGTCCCGGCCCCTCCCAAATCTCATGTCCTTACATTTCAAAACCAATCATGCCTTCCCAACAGTCCCCTAAAGTCTTAACTCATCTCAGCATTAACTCAAAAGTGCACAGTCCAACATCTCATCTGAGACAAGGCAAGTCCCTTCTGCCTATGAGCCTGTAAAATCAAAAGCAAGTTAATTACTTCCTAGTTACAATGGGGGTACAGGCATTGGGGAAATACAGCCATTCCAAATGGGAGAAACTGGCCAAAATACAGGGGCTGCAGGCCCCATGCAAGTCTGAAATCCAGCAGGGCAGTCAAATCTTAAAGCTCCAGTGAGAATGACCTCTTTTGACTCCATGTCTTGCATCCAGGTCACACTGATGCAAGAGGTGGGTTCCCATGGTCTTGAGCAGCTCTGACTCTGTGGCTTTGCAGGGTACAGCCTCCCTCCCAGCTGCTTTGATGGGATGGTGTTGTCTGCAGCTTTTCCAGTCACATGATGCAAGCTGTTGGTGGATCTATCATTCTGGGGTCTGGAGGACAGTGGTCTTCTTCTCACAGCTCCACTAGGCAGTGCCCCAGGAGGGACTCTGTGTGGGAGCTCCAAACCCACATTTCCCTTCCACACTGCCCTAGCAGAGATTCTCCATGAGGGCCCTGCCTTTGCAGCAAACTTCTGCTTGGACATTGAGGCATTTCCACACATCCACTGAAATATAGGCAGAGGTTCCCAAACCTCAATTCTTTGTCTTCTGTGCACCTGCAGGCTCAACACCATGTGGAAGCTGCCAAGGCTTGGGGCTTGCATCCTCTGAAGCCACGGCCTGAGCTGTACCTTGGCCCCTTTTAGTCATGGCTGGAACAGCTGGGACACAGGGCACCAAGTCCCTAGACTGCACACAGCATGGGGAACCTGGGCCCGGCCATGAAATCACGGTTTTCCTCCTAGGTCTCTGGGCCTGTGATGGGAGGGACTGCCATGAAAACCTTTGACATGCCCTGGAGACACTTTCCCCATGTCTTGGGGATTAACATTTGGCTCCTCAGATTCTCATTACTTGTGGTAATTTCTGCAGCTGGCTTGAATTTTCTTTTCTATTGCATTGTCAATCTGCAAATTTTCCAAACTTTTGTGCTGTTTCCCTTTTAACACTGAATGCCTTTAACAGCACCGAAGTAACCTCTTGAATGTTTTGCTGCTTAGAAATTTCTTCCACCAGATATCTAAATCATCTCTCTCAAGTTAAAAGTTTCACAAATCTCTGGGGCAGGGGAAAATGCCACCAGTCTCTTTGCTAAAATAAAAAAAGAGTCACCATTGCTTCAGTTCCCAAAAAGTTTCTCATCTCCATCTGAAACCACCTCAGCCTGGACTTTGTTGTTCATATCACTATCAGCATTTTTGACAAAGCCATTCAATAAGTTTCTAGGAAGTTCCAAACTTTCCCACACTTTCCTGTCTTCTTCTGAGCCCTCCAAATTCTTCCAACCTCTGCCTGTTACCCAGTTCCAAAGTCAGTCACTTCCACATTTTTGGGTATATTTTCAGCAATGCCCCACTCTACTGGTACCAATTTACAGTATTAGTCCGTTTTCACACTGCTGATAAAGACATACCCAAGACTGGGCAATTTACAAAAGGAGGTTTATTGGCCTTATAGTTTCACATGGCTGGAGGCCTCACAATCATGGCAGAAGGCAAGGAGGAGCAAGTCACATCTTACATGGATGGCAGCAGGCAAAGAGAGAGCTTCTGCAGGGAAACTCCCATTTCAAAAACCATCAGATCTTGTGAGACTCAATCACTGCCATGAGAACAGCATAGGAAAGACCCACCCCAATAATTCAGTCACCTCTCACTGGCTTCCTCCCATGACATTTGGGAATTGTGGGAGTTACAATTCAAGATGAGATTTGGGTGGGGACACAGCCAAACCATATCAGCCTTCAAAGAGAAGAGAGTGACTTGAGGAAAAGCCTTTATTTGTCCCACCCAAATCTCTAAATTTGTAAGTTGAATCTGTTCCTATCATTCTATCTTTAGTGCATGTCTCTAGCAAGGGTAGTCTAAGGTTTATGTATATCCCTGGACCCCTAGAGAGTATATTCTTTTCTATCCACCAGACAGCCATATCTAAAAATTAGTTGTTTTGTTTTTTGTTTTGCGTCAAAGCACATGAAACAGGACAATGGGGTCTTTTGCTCCTATGACTACTGTCTCATATGGAATTCTCACTTCCTGGTCATGTTTAGCTGATTGGTGCCATATGGCACCAATGTATTGGGAAGAGTCTGAGCAAGCTTTTCCAAAAACAAAATATTATTCAGATTTCCTTAATTTATGAAGATGAGACCATTCATTTTCCTACCTAATCCCCTCTGGAGGTTCTCCAAAGTTTGAAATGAAATAAATTCTTCTTTCAAATATATGTAATCCACATTAATTGCTTTTGACAGTGAAGGGCAGAATGGTTGGATACCACAGTAGTTAATACTTTAATCATATCACCTCTGCAACACACTTAGCTGTGTGCAGCTCTCCGAAGAACACCTGTGCCAATGTGTCCTCCTCATGGAATAAAAATGCAGGCATCTCATAGTTCTCAACTGCATTTTAATATAAATGAACTTATGGCAGGTAAAGGAGAAAAGAGGATCGAAAGTGAGAAAGGCGGTTGGGGAAAAATCTGTTTAAAGTCTCTGGGATAGAAACACTGATATTGCCATTTAGTAGTTTCCTATAGAATAAAGGTCAAGTTCTCTAGGATGACAATGAAAGCTTTAATAAACTAGCCCTCCTTTCCTCTATACCTGATCATACTTCCTACAGCCTGATCTTACTCTCCCCATTCTCCAAAGCCTGGTGTCTCCCTCCTACTCCTACCTTTGTTTTTAAGAGTCTTTTCTATTCGTGGGTTAAAGACTTAACTCAAATGCTACCAACTTCATGGATTTTTTTTTCTTCCTTCCCAAGTTTGAAATCCTATTTCTCTTCTCTGTAATGCTATAATTCATTCAGCCAATTCCACAGCATTTATGTAGTCAGACCCTGTACTTTAGTAAGTGGTATCCATATCTTATTTTCCTGAGGCTTAAGTCCAGGGAGAAAGAAAAATTATGCTTCACAAAAGCAAAAACAAACTTAGCACAGACACATGGCTGATACACAATTTTTTAAAAAATTAATGAATGCATTAATGAATAACAGAATGTCTGGTCTGATAGACTGTAAACTTCTTGAAGGAAGGACTGTATCTTTCAAGTTTAGATGGTATTTTCCATATTGTACCCCTATAAAATAATCTAGCAAGGCAACTTCTTTATGACAGATCTCAATGAGTATGTGGGAACTGCATTGAACTGGGATGAACATACGTGCGGTTGTAACGGGTCAGCTATGATAGGAAGTTGCAATCAATGGTGGACCTTAGACTGTGTAGGTCTGAGTTCAAAAACAATTCAAAGTTCTCTGGCTCTCCAGAAGAAAAAAATGTATATATTTGACTGTGGTGGTCCTGAGATAAAAATCCTCCCTGTTAAGTATTAAGACATCTGATTTTTTTTTTTTCGAGACAGAGTCTTGCTCTGTTGCCCAGACTGGAGTGCTGTCACATGATCTCAGCTCACTACAACCTCCACCACCCGGGTTCAAGCGATTTTCCTGCCTCAGCCTCCTTAGTAGCTGGGACTACAAGCACGTGCCACCATGCCCAGCTAATTTTTGTATTTTTAGTAGAGATAGGGTTTCAGTGTTGGTCAGGCTAGTCTCGAACTCCTGACTTCAAGTGATTGACTCACCTTGGCCTCCCAAAGTGCTGGGATTACAGGCATGAGCCACCACGCCTGGCCAAGACATCTAAATTTTAACAGTTATTTTATTTCATGAAGTATGGAATTAATCTCCCAAGAAAGTGAGTGCCAAAGATTAAAAGAAAGTAAGCAGTTATGAATTGTATTAAAACTATTCACAAATAAAAGTAGTGATTACAATGCAGTTAAAAGAAATGGAAAATTTTAGTTCACAAGCTAAATTCAGGCTGTTCACCTGAAATTTCTTTAAATATCTACAAATGAATGTGAGGCAACATGATCTTTAGGTAAACACTTAAATAGAGTAGTAAATGAATCTCCCAAACAAGGTACCAAACTGACTGCCAGTAGAATGTATTCCATACTCAGTATTTATTCCAGAACAGTGTCTTGATAAAAGCCACAATAAAAGCAGCATGATTGATCATAAAGCAAAAGAACGTTCTCAATAAATATTCCTGAAAGGACGATCTCATTGCTATGAAATATTAACTACCTTAGAGTTCTATACACCCCCCTTCACCATCTATACATATTTGTGACAGCTTGGAAATCAAATAAAAACAAAACTTTCAATCATAGTGCCTACCAAAACTCCCTCCCATCTCAATGCTTAAGAATCTATGGCCGGGCATGGTGGCTCATGCCTGTAATCACAGCACTTTGGGAGACCAAGGCGGGCAGATCACGAGGTCAGGAGATCGAGACCATCCTAGCTAACATGATGAAACCTTGTCTCTACTAAAAATACAAAAAAATTAGCCAGGCATGGTGGCAGGTGCCTGTAGTCCCAGCTACTCGGGAGGCTGAGGCAGGAGAATGGTGTGAACCCAGGAGGTAGAGCGCTGAGAACGCACCACTGCACTCCAGCCTGGGCAACAGAGTGACACTCCATCTCAAAAAATAAATAAATAAATAAAGAATCTATTTTATGTTTACTTAGTAATGTCAACAACCATGGCACTCTTTATTCTAGAAGTCACTGTATAATTGTCATTAAGATTTTTTAGTCATTAGGGTCAAAGTATACCCCTAAACTACTCTAAAGTTTTCCCTTGTGTCCATGAGAACGTGAACTATCAGAATCTCAGGATATGTGGCTGTTTCTTTGACACGTTGACTTAACCAATCCCTCTACCCTGACTTCTGTGTGAATTCAGCATCAACAGACATTGATCTGAATATGTGGGTTCAATTACAAGATTGCCTTTCTCATCTATACTCATGAATCCCTTGAAAGACAGCTCATGAGTCCTTCCAGGTCTCTTTGCAGAATACCAGTGCCACATACATACATCTACTTTTGGAAGAGTTCTGGGAAGATTAATGAGATAACAATTTTAAAACAGAGATGTTTGAGAGTAAAGTATCAAGAACGAGAATACTATTACATTGTAGTTCCTTTGCATATTTTAATTGCACACATAGAATGTCCAGAACACAAACCAAAAAACAAAGTGTCATTTCTAATGAGTAAATTAGGAAAAAATTTAGCTCTGTTGCTATGGCAAGTCCCATCAACACAATATGACAGACATTTTGGCTTTGTCCACCTCCTCAATGGTTGAGGACTGAGTCAGGGTTTATATTTCTTTAGCCATTAAGATGACCAATGCTTCAAAGACTATTTAATGAATGTGTTGCTTCATGCTGGCCTAGAATTAAATTCTAAACCTGCAAGCAGATATCTTCCAAAATATTTCTGTACCCTCTGCAAATTATTATTCCTGCAGTGCAGGAACTTCTTAAATTATTGTTTCCAAAACTGAAGTCATTCTCATATCACTTTCCAATTTTCATCATGTCTACTTGTAATGTAAATTATTTAAAATATTACTGTATATCCTAGGCAACACTACCCATGAAATAAGGCTCAATATGCTAGTTATAATGTCATACATAATAAAGTAAATACATTACTATAAAAATTAAAAAGTGCTACCTGAAACTATCTTACACAACACCAGGGTTATATATGCCAAACTGTGAGGAATATTGTTTGAATATATTACTGAAAACAAAACCACTTACACAGAAGTCAGGATTAGTGCCAGCATTATGTTCACATTAATCCTGTATTGTCTAAGAAACATTTATTCAGCACATGGCACTCAAAAATATAGGCACAATAAATGAACGATAAAGGCATAATCATTAACTCTTAAACTTTGTTAGCTATTTTTGTGCATATTCCAAAAGATACAGGTTGATCATTGTCAAATATTTGTTAATCTCTCTTCCAAAACGTGCTCTTGTATGGAACATTAGCAACTACTGGCTCAGGTATCTACTGCAGCAGATACCAATTTGGGTAGGGGAAATGTTAAAAGAAATGCAATCAATTTTATTTTTTTTCTTCATAAGAATAAAAAATAACCAAATTAAAAAGCATACATCTGGGAGGTCAGAGATTCAGCTTCTAGGTATAGCTATGTCTTTCTGTTCCAGTGTTTGTGTGCATCATTCATTTATCTAACTTTTCGATTTCTCAATCTGCAAAATAATATTATTAAACTAAATATAACCTTGGAAGTCCTAGCCAGAGTAATCAGGCAAGAGAAAGAAATAAAGGGCATCCAGTTTGGAAAAGAGGAAGTCAAACTCTCTATGTATGCTGATGATATGATTGTATACGTAGAAAACCCTAAGCCTACAAAAGACTCCTAGATCTGATAAATGAATTCAGCAAAGTCTCAGGTTACAAAATCAATGTACACAAATCAGTAGCACTTACATACACCAACAATGACAAAGCTGAGAATCAAATCAAGAACTTAATTCCTTTTAGAATAGCTAAAAAATAAAATAAAGTAAAATACCTGGGGACATACTTAACCAAGGAGGCGAAAGATCTCTACAAGTTAAACTACAAAACACTACTATTGAAGGAAATCATAGATGACACAAACAAATGGAAACACATCCCATGTTCATGAATTGGAGGAATCAATATTGGGAAAATGACCAAAGCAATCTACAGATTCAATGCAACTCCCATCAAAATGCCAACTTAAGTATTCACAGAATTAGAAAAAAAATCCAAACATTTATATGAAACCAAAAGAAAGCCTGAATAGCCAAAGAAATGCTAAGCAAAAAGAATAAATCTGGAGGCATCACATTACTTGACTTCAAATTATACTGTGATGCTATAGTAACCAAAACATCATGGTACTGGCATAGAAGTAAATATATAGACCAATGAAACAGACTAGAGAACCCAGAAATAAAGCTAAATATAAGCAACTGATCTTTGACAAAGCATACAAAAACATAAATTGGGGAAAGGACATCCCATTCAATAAATGGTGCTGAGAAAATTGCATAGCCACATATAAAAGAATGAAACTGGATCCCTACCTCTCACCGTATACAAAAATTAACTCAAGATAGGTTAAAGACTTAAATCTGAGACCTAAAACCATAAAAATCCTAGAAGAAAACCTAGGAAAAACTCGTCTGGTCATTGGCCTAGGCAAATAATTTATGACTAAGACCCCATAAGCAAATACAACAAAAACTAACATAAATAAATGGCACCTAAACTAAAAAGCTTCTGCACAGAAGAGGAACTAATCATCAGAGTAAACAGACAACCTACAGAATGGGAGAAAATATTGTAAAATTGTGCATTCAATTCAACAAAAAACTAACATCCAGGTCTACAAGGAACTCAAATCAGCAAAAAATAAAACAATATGAATAGGTATTTCTCAAAAGAAGATACACAAATGACCAACAAACATATGAAAAAAAGTTCAACATTACTAATCATCAGAGAAATGTAAATTAAAACCATAATGAGATACCACCTTACCCCAGCCAGAATGGCCATTATTAAAAAGTGAAAAAACAATAGATGTTGGCATGGATGTGGTGAAAAAGGAATGCTTATACTCTGCTGGTGGAAATGTAAACTAGTACAGTCTTTATGGAAAACAGTATGGAGATTTCTCAAAGAACTAAAAGTAGCATAAAAGTAACTAAAAGTATTGTTTGATCCAGCAGTCTCACTACTGGGTATCTACACAAAAGAAAATAAGTCACTATATAAAAAGACACCTGCACATGTTTATCATAGCACACTTCACAATTGCAAAGATGTGGAATCCACATAAATGCCCATCAGACAATGAATGTATAAAGGAAATGTGGTGCATGTATACCAGGGAATACAACTCAGCCATAAAAAAGAATCAAATAATGTCTTTGCAGCAACTTGGATGGAACGGGAGGCCACTATCCTAAGCAAAGTAACCCTGGAATTGTGGTGGCTCACACCTGTAATGCTAGCACTTTGGGAAGCCGAGGTGGGCAGATTCCCTGAGGTCAGGAGTTCGAGACCAGCCTGGCCAACATGGCGAAACCCCATCTCTACTAAAAATACAAAAATTAGCCGGGCGTGGTGGTGAGCACCTGCACTCCCAGCTACTTGGGAGGCTGAGGCAAGAGAATTGCTTAAACCCAGGAGGCAGAGGTTGCAGTGAGCTGAGATTGTACCACTGCACTCCAGCATGGGCAACAGAGTGAGACTCTGTCTCAAAATAATAATTAATAATAATCAAAAAAACCCAAATACCACATGTTCTCATTTATAAGTGCGAGCTAAGCCATGGGTACACGAAGGCATAGAGTGGTATAATGGACACTGGAGACTCAGAAGGTAGGAGGTTGGAAGTGGGGTGAAAGATGAAAAACTATCTATTGGATACAACGTACACTATTTGGGTGATGGGTGTACTAAAATCCCAGACATCCCCACTATACAATTTATCCATGTAACCAAAAACCACTTGCATCATTAAAGCTATTTGAAATAAAAAAGATCAAAAATAAATAAATTTAACCTCTATGTTTTTCACTTCTTTTGTTGGTCCATAATTATACTATCCTAAAAATCTAAGGCAAAAGAACATTACAGGCTTGCCAACAAAAAGACCATTCTCAAAGGTGTTTTCCAAGTCCTACATAAACTGAATTCCATTTTTTATATATGTAACATTAATATTACATTAATATTAATATAATAGTAGTGTATATGCATATTATCATAATCATACAATGTTCTATCCAGGAGCAATCTGGAGGCTTGGCTTCGAGAAAAAACAGCCAACTTCATTCAAAACCTGGGCAGACATGTTGGGAACTTACATAAAAGGGCAATAGGTACGGTGTCTGAATGTTCTCTGAGAAGGTAAACTATACTCAGGCTCCATCCCAATCCCTCCCAGAGGAATTCTACCCAAAAGCAAGTAAGTGAAATAATATTAGGAAAAACCAACTATAGGGAGACTCACATTCACTCTGTAATATTTTCTATGTGTTATCTTTTAATTTTGGTTATATCTCCCTACCTACAGGTTTTCAAATATTTTAAGCCAATTCTTTTAAAAATTTCTGTTGCTTGAAAACCTAGAGAATTTATTCCAGAGAACTAAATATTAATTTCTATATTCTCCTATATTTTCTAGCCAATGTCACTATAATCATTTGTTCTCAACCCAATAATGTATCTTTTTATTTTTCAATGAAGATGAGCTGGAAGTTCTTCTAAGGATCTTTGAATCTCTACAGTACTTTCCACGAAAAGACTAAGTGTCCATCTGGTATCTCTCAAACCTATGAAAGTAGAAGGATGGATTCCGACTATAGGGATAGCAAGGGCTAGTGGGCAGTCCTTCAAAAAAGTTATTTTTCCATTATACATGGTAATTAGATGCAATGCAAATAATACATCAAAGGAGATACTAGAAAAAATCTGGCAAAAAATCACTCAACTGAAAACCAACTCATGAGATAACATATTTGTGTAACTCTTCTATACAAAGATTTTTGCCTTTCTTTTGCACTTTTTGGGGGTAGACAAATTTAATCATAAGTATAATCATTCTGTATACAAGTTTGTATTGTGTTTCCTATAAGAGTGTAATGGTTTACGTTATTATAAGTTATTGCATTTTTAACAGCCACATAATATTTCATTGGATCAATGAATCAAAATTAACCTAACATTCCCCATTTTTGGACTTTTAACTTGTTTTCAAATATTCATACAATAAGTTGTATTGCAATTAACATATATTCTCTTAAATCTATGAGTTTGATTTCTTGTTTTTGTCTTTATTTTTCTTTCTCCCTCCTTCTCCTCCTCCTCCTTTCACTATGATCACTTTCACAAGTGGGACTATTAGGTCAGTGGGTCTGATCTTTTTTACATTTCTTGATAAACATTGACAAACTTTTTTCTAGGTAACACTTGTATAAATTAATCCTCTCACAAGCACTATATATGTCCATTTCCCTCCTTCAGAGGGTCTTACCATTTTTTTAATTTTATGTTTTGTTAATGTCATATAAGAAAATTGAATCTCATATTTAATTTGTATTTTTATTTTTTGATATAATACATATTAACCTGTCAAATTTTCTTCTTTTATGAATTGAGAGTATCATTTGCTTGTTTAATTATAGAAGGTCTCACAGCAATTTGTATAATCTTTATAAATCTAAAATATTCACCCTTTTTGCAATATAGTCTGTGAATATTTTCCCCAGTTTGCTTTTTGGCTTTTAATTTAGATTTATTTGCTTATATTTTATAGTCAAATCTGTGTGAGTTCTTTCATTGCTTGAAAGCTAAAAATTCTCCTCTAGAGAGCACATAAATATTAATTTCTACTTTCTTTTATTTTTCTACTCTTTTTAACACTTGATTATTTATTCTTAAATTTCTCACTCCCCTACAAGGACAGAATTTTGGCTGAAATATCTAAAATTTCCATAGAGGATAAAATTAGCTACTAGATAGAGGATTTAAACGTCAATGCTGCAGTTCTCAGGTACTCTGGAAACCCCTGAATTGTTAAGCCCAGCCATTTTCAACATCAGTTTACAAATGCTTTAGAGTATTGCTACTACAAGTTACTATTCATTATTCAAAGCTTGCACACCATGCAATGTGGGAAGAAGAAATGGAAGGGGGAGATAAGAACATTACCTCATGTCATCAACCCCAGGTTTTACATGAAATGCTTTCTGCACTGGAATAGCAAAAACGTCATCACAATCCTTGCCCTGCACAAATGTAAATGACAATCATGAAACACCTCGTAATAGGTCTGTTTTAAGTATCTAACAAAAGAAGTTTACACTGTGTCATGCTATATAGTATGGCCAAATCTATTTTAGTTTAAACTGCTTTAAAATGTTGCTTTTCTCTAATTGGACCAGCCATAATTACTGCAATAATCCATCTTCTGAATGGTCAGTTTGAATAACACCAGAATCAACGCCACTGCTCATTAGGTAATACAGGAGATTTGTTTAAAATTTATTTAACACACTTTCACTGAGCAATCTCTTTATCCCAGATCCTTTTCTAGGGATTAAGGCTCCCAAATATAGGCAGCACATTGGCCCTACCAGCAAGGACAGTGAATCTTGAACATGATGAATGGCTTTTTCAAAATACATACTCCTGAGCACTACCTCAGATCCTCTGTATGAGGAGGGAACCTACTGTCATTTGTGTTTCCAACTTCACATGATAATTTTAATGATTGACCAGAATTGAGAACCACTCTTAGAACTCAAGGAGCAGTGAGTCTCTATTCCTCCCAATTTCAAAAGCTTCCATTTCTTGGGTTACTAATCTAAAGCTAAGTTCTTCACATATAGAACTTACAATCCATATAATATATGTGAAAATCAATGCCTTTGTCTTACAGATGGAGAAATGGATTTTTTTTTTTTTTGAGATGGAGTCTCGCTCTGTTGCCAAGGCTGGAGTGCAGTGGCACGATCTCAGCTCACTGCAACCTTCACCTCCCGGGTTCAAGCGATTCTCCTGCTTCAGCCTCCCGAGTAGCTGGGACTACCAGCACGTGCCAGCACGCCCAGCTAGTTTTTTTTATTTTTCGTACAAAAGAGACTGGGTTTCACTGCGTTAGCCAGGGTGGTCTCGATCTCTTGACCTCGTGATCCACCCACCTTGGCCTCCCAAAGTGCTGGGATTACAGGCGTGAGACACCAAGCCCAGAAGAAACTGATCTTAAAAAAGGTTTAGGAATTTGCCCAAGGTAACATACTTATAGTTCACCGACCTGTGATTCTAACTCAGAGCTCTCTGATATTAGTCTAAATGATGAGGAATAAAAGACTACAAATTGGGTTCAGTGTACACTGCTCCGGTGATGGGTGCACCAAAGTCTCACAAACCACCACGAAAGAAATTACTCATGTAACCAAATACTGCCTGTTTCCCAAAAACCTATGGAAATAAAAAATTAAAAGAAAAAGAATTAAGTCCAAATGAAAGAAAAACCACCATCTGGATTAACCAGCTTGGGCATTTTTGATAATTAAATCAGGAATTTTGAGTAATATGGTAAAGAATATACATATTTCAAAAACAGCCCATATGTCAGAGTATGGTAACTGCTGAGATGTTGGTGAGTCTGTATCTCCCAAGTCTTTTGCTGAAGTTTCTGGTTTTGTGTCTAAGTTTTACATAATCATATTGTTCTTGGCTGAGATTAATTTTATCTTCCTAACTACACTTACAAGTTATAAGAGTATATTTGCTTTCTCTATTGATCTGACAATTGGCTCTTTTGGGAAACTTACAAGGAGAAAAGAAAATACAACCACTTTCCATTTTTGCCTGTCTCCAGGAAAAAAAGAATGCCTCATTCCCTTCAACAAAGAAAAAGACACAAGAGAAACTACAGTTATGTAGCCATATCTCATTGTCAGTAGCATGGAGCCTCATAACTTAACGCCCCCTTTGAAACACAGAACGTGTGGACCCATGCTTCCTTCCAACAAGGTACAATCACTAGATAGGTCTTTAACTTTGCATAAAATAGTTCTCAAAATCAGATTTATCCTTAGCATGCATGTAATCTGCTTTTCCTAAAAACTGTTTAGAATGAAGTAGACAGAAAACTTAAAACCCAGATATTAATGGATCAGTCTCATGTTGTTACATATAAAAAACAGGGGTTCTGAGAGTTTTAGCTTTCAGAAAGCGTACATCAGAACAATCGGAATCATCCACACATTTTATTAAGCTATGGTATGTGTAAGACACTCAGTTAGCTGCTTTGAGAGATATGGAAAATAGACATAATCTCTGATCTCTAAGAACTGACACCAATGTTGAAAAAAGGATGTGTTTCTATGAACAAATGACCAACATTCAAGGCTGAGCCACAGTTTTTCAAAACTAAATAGCATTGCACATCCCTTTTTAAAATAATTGTCAAATTCCTCAGCACTGATATTCAATCCTATGTTACAGCATAATACAAAGGGTACTTAAATATGTGCAAACCCAAAATTATGTACACATACGTGAAGTTTATTGCACTTATAAAACTATAAAACCAAATCAAATTTGCCAATTAAATCCAAACAAAACTACCAAAACCAATAACATTTCATCAACAATACTAATTTAGTGAGACGGATGGTGTTACTTTACTAAAACTCAATTTATGTTTTCAATGTGAATGTCATGCTGAAGGCCACTGTGTAAAATCTTTTGAATCATTCCTGCCATATCACTGAGCCATAAAACCACTCATGTTCTCATTATTTTTTCTATATAAAAACTACCCTTTCCAAAGCATCCATTAAATCATTTGTCTTTCACTTGGAACAAACCTGTTATTTATACATTAAGTTAATTTTTATTTTGACATTCTTGGAGGACTCCTGGTGTCAATGTGATTACAAATTCACACGTATGCTTGCTTGGACAATGAAACAGTGGGTGTTTAGTCTGTTATTTGTTGGTCATTCAGATGATCCAGCACATGCTTTTGTCTATTTTTTATACAATCCTCAAGGTGAGAACTTTTGAACTCCTCCCTCCTCTGCCAAACAAACAACAATAAGAATAAATATGGTCACTTTAGAGAACACATCATCAGATACCCAGTGGGATACACAGACATTCTAGAAAAACACTCAGTAACAACTCAAGGCAATACATTTTCCAGAGAGGAATGCAGAATAGAGAATTTCCCCCAGCAGGATACAGAAAGTTGGTTTTGATCTGGCTTTCCAGCAATGGGTGGGATTTTGTGAGCTAATGAAGGGACAGCTTCTTAGGTAGGGGTAGCATGAGAAAAACTAAAGAAGCAGGAAATTGCTGACATGCTTAAGGTTGGTGAATGGACCAGTTAGCTGGTGTATTCCAAAGGGGACTCAGTGAATTAAATCTGCCTAGAAAGAGAGTTTGCCCCAAAGTATGGTAATTCTAAATAACACTAAGAGCTGTAATCAGGGTTAGCGAACAGATATTTGAAGTTTCTTAATCACTAGAAGTGAAGGATTTTAGCTTAACTTTTACAACTGATGCCAAAGCCTGTTGATATTAGGCAACCTGGAGATCAGAGCCCTTCTGTTACAGGGGTCCTTGCTCTTAGAGCTCCCAAGATGGTGGCGGGCTGCTTCCAAGATGGTGGCAAGCCTCTTGCTCTCTGACCTGGGGTTCTTGGCCTCACAGATTCCAAGGAATGGAATCTTGGGCCATGCAGTGAGTGTTATAACTCTATTAGAAGCTGTGGGTCAGGGAAGAGAACCGTGGAACCCAGAGACTAGTGTTCAGCTCAATTAGGATGAACCCAGGCACTTAGCCGTGCAGGAACAATGGCAAGCCTTTAGCCCGATCCCGAGTGGCAATGGACACCTTGCTGGATCAGGAGCACAGTGGACACCCTGCCGGATCCAGAGGGACAGAAGTCAGCAGCGGGTCTCTGACGGTGGCAAACAGCATGGTGGATGGAGAGCAAAAGCTCAGCTCAAGCCGTAACAAACACGGACCAGAAGAGTGTGCAGTTGCAAGATTTAATAGAGTGAAAACAGAGCTCCCATACAACAGGAGGGGACCCAAAGTGGGTAGCCACTCCCTGCTCGAATGCCTGGGTTTATGTCCCAATCATTGTCCCTCCTCCTGTGCTCTCAGGCGATAGATGATTGGCTATTTCTTTACCTCCTGTTTTTGCCTAATTAGCATTTTAGTGAGCTCTCTTTACTACCTGATTGGTCAGGTGTGAGCAAAGTTGCAAGTCCCGTGTTTAAAGGTGGATGCGGTCACCTTCCCAGATAGGCTTAGGGATTCTTAGTTGGCCTAGGAAATCCAGCTAGTCCTGTCTCTCACTTCCTGCTAATTTGGGTACAAAAGCAAAGACAGTATTTATTGTTCTGTATTCATACTCTCACTTAACTTCTTAAACTATAGCAAATTTTATGTTTCTCTTAGTTTCCCCCCTTTGATTTCAGATATATAATTTTCAATGTTATATTACTTTATTATTTTCTATTTTTCTTAATACGTTTTAGGCATCAGGGAATGGCAAGAAACCCTCCAAAGTGCTAATGTATCATATAACTGGACCTGTGCCATCTTTTCTAAGCATTACTTTGCAGTTTGGTGACCTAACAAGTGTAACTGGATGCTGAAGGGGTTCTATTATCTTGGACCAGGATACAAAGCTAAGACATACATGAGTAAAGTACTCTACACTCAAAAATGAGATCTGAATTTTTAGAGGACAGAAATTTTCTCCAGGCTTTATAGTGAGTGATGGTGGGGTGGTGGGGGTAGGGGGCGTTGTTCCACAATGTCAGTATAACTGAGCTACCACCACCACTCAAGTCTGACTATGAGTTAAGACTAGGGAGGGAGGAGGTAGCAGGGAAGAAGTGTGGAAAGGTCAGAGACGTGACTCATTAGCCTGGGAGAGTTGGTGTGTCCATTTCCCTCCCTGCCATAAGGAGAGTGGATGCTTCTTTCAACCATGCCAAGAAAGGCGAGATGATGTCCAAGAGAACAATTCATAGAGATTAGATTAGTGCTGCAGAAAAGGCAGAATGAATTCTTAGTTTTTACTGGAGTAAGTGCTTATGCAGTGGATCTGCTAATTTTTCTCTCAACCTATTTGAACAGAAACACAAAAGGAATATGAGAGAGGCAGCAGAATAAGGAAGTGTGGCTCCAGGGATGCCTGGGCTCACAGTGTTTGCCATGGCAAGCAGCCTGAGTTTCCACTGAGCAGACCAAATGAATGCCTGTTAAGCAGCCTGACTTCAGCTAGCTTGCTAGTATACCAGAAGGCTGGCACACAGGGCAAAGGAATACAGCTAATGGGGCCAAATAGATGGACTCCTGGGGAAGAATCTGAGGAGATGGGGAGAAGATGGGTGAGCTTCAGGAGATGAAGCTGGGGCAGATCTCCTAACTAGGACACCTTAGATCTTAACAGTAGGGATGTCTCTATGGTCCCATGGATAACCCACACATGCACTCCATGACAGAACCAACATTTGGATATCTGCATTATTTGAAAAAGAAGCTGAAAGAGTCAAACAGGACCACCAATAAGATGCTGGTTACAGAAGATTATTTCTTTCCTCTCTCATACTCCCTCCTCCCAAGCTTAAATCACAGGAACTGGAATCAGAAGACAGAAGAATGGAGAAAACGTCCTACATACCAGTCACGAAGTCTCCCTTGGGCTGCAAATTCTGTGGGTTGAAGTTTGGTAGATATAAGAGAAAGGAGAAATAATAAATATTTTAGAAGGGCATCAAGCCAGGGTTTAAAATGAGATGAAATTAGGTTAGACTGTTTTTTTTTTTTTTTTTTTTTTTTTTGAGACGGAGTCTCTGTTGGCCAGGCTAGAGTGCAGTGGCACGATCTCAGTTCACTGCAACCTCTGCCTCCCGGGTTCAAGCGATTCTCCTGCCTCAGCCTCACCAGTAGCTGGGACTACAGGCGCGTGCCACCATGCCTGGCTAATTTTTTTCTATTTTTAGTAGAGATGCGGTTTCACCGCGTTAGCCAGGACGGTGTTGATTTCCTGAACTCGTGATCCGCCCGCCTTGGCCTTCCAAAGTGCTGGGATTATAGGTGTGAGCCACAGCTCCTGGCCAGACTGGACTTTTTAATGATAGCAAATGACAAACACCTATCAGAACTGCCATCATTAAGAGATGGAAAAGAGAGATTTAACATGACGGCAGTAGTTAGAAAAAAACAGAAACATTTCCTATTGATATCTCACCACATTCAGACTTCAGTAAATTGTTAAACCAAGAAAAAAATGGCAACATTATTAAATTATATTTCACTGGGTTATGGATCAATAAACTCAAGAGTCAAAGGGCCTTTGTTTGAATCTTGTCTCCACCTTTTATCAGGTGAATGTCCCAGAACAAATTATATTAAAATGTTCTTTATATTAATTTTTTGTCCATAAAATTGGGATATTACTACCTTCACAGTCTTCCAAGGACTAAATAAAAATAACTGACAGAGAATCTGGCAAGTATGTTTGTCCCTTCTTTCCAAATCCTCTTTGTTTTCTTAATACACATACATATAGTATTTTTAAATATTTACAATGTAATTAGTTGACATATAATTTTCTGTTTTGTTAATTCATTTCAAGGTTTAGAGCTTTACATATATTGAAATTGAAACCTATTACCATTTTAATATGTTTAAAGGAGGCACCATTTGTGAGACAGTGGCTTAGCTGGTTCTCTTTTGTGGAGAACTTGGATGATGTCCAAGCTTTTTTCTCCCCTCAATATAAACTGTGATGTTGCTAAAATTGAAAAGAAAGCACTTATCCCATTTCTAAGTAGAAAAGGCTTCACCAGTTACTATTACCTTGGGATATCCTTTCCCAAAAGGAATTTTGAGACTATCAATAGTTATTTTCATTGGAATCTCTTGGAAGTGTCAACATCCCTAGAATACATGAACTTTTAATTGAAAAATTAAACGATAAAATAAATAAAATAAAAGCTTCCTCCTGATTTAAGAATCTTCTCTAGAGACCCCTGACTTATTTGATTTGGCCTGGCTAAGGAAAAACTCCCAATGAATCCTCACTGGGATTTCCCAACACCCTTCCCAATTTACATTCAGGATTATATAGCCTGTAATAATTTTATGCCAGAGTATAACAGAATGCACTGATTTAGTTCCATTAGCTTCTTTTTACCTACATTTCAGCTTTCTACTCTCTAGCAAGCTAGAATGTAGTTTCTTTATCTTTCCCGAGGCTGTACTGCAGAAATCTCTTCTTCCTATCTGCCATCTGCTTTAATGCCGTCTTTAGTCCCAAACCCCAGTTGATTCTGGCGCTAATTATTGTCAGCTCTGCCCATTCAGGTAGCTGAAAATACTTTGAATAAATTACATACTACCGTGTTGGCTACAGAAGCATATAGAAAATCCACTATTTTCAGTCATGTGAAGGGAATCTGTGGGCTCTGTTTGTCTCCATTTCTTTTGCCGCTGAAATAAACGCAGGTTTGCTGCAATCATTTATTTTTAATTGAGATATAATTTGCATAGCATACAATTTGCAGCTTTTAAGAGTACAATACAGTAGTTCTTGTATATGAGCAATGTTGAAAAATCATCAATATTTAATTCCAAAACATTTTCATCACTCTAAAAAGAAACTCCATGCCCATTAACAGTCAATCTCCTGTGTCCCTCCCTTTTTGTCTCTATATATTTGTATATTCTGGACTTTTCATATTAATCCATCATAAAAGATGTGGACTTCTATGTCTGGCTTCTTTCACTTAGCAGAATGTTTTCAAGTTTCATTCATACTGTTGCTTTATAAACCTCTATAAAGAGGAATCAGTATTCTATTCCTCTTTATGGCTGAATAATACACCATTCCACAGATACACCACATTTAGTTTATCCATTCATCAGTTGATAGAAATTTTTTTTCCACCTTTTGGCTTTTATGAATAATGCTTCTGTGAACCTTCTTGTATAAGTACTTATGTGGACACGTGTTTTCATTTCCCTTGAGCATATACATAGGCATGGAATTGCTGGGTCATATGACATAGTATATTTAACTTTCGAGAAACTGGCAGACTGGTTTCCAAAGCAGCTATACCATTTTGTATTTCCACTAATAATGCATAAAGGTTCTCATTTCTCCACATTCTACAACCCTTATTACTCTCTTTTTTATTATAGTCATCCCAATGGGAGTGAAGTAGTATCTAACGAAGTTTTAATTTCAATTTAGCTAATGTCTAATGATGTTGAGCAATTTTTCATGTGATGATTAACCATTTGAAAAACTTTGAAGAAATTTCTGTTAAAATGATTTGCCCATTTTTAATTATTTATCTTTTTATTGTAGAACTATAAGGCAGGGTGTGGTGGCTCACACCTGTAACACCAGAACTTTGGGAGGCCAGGGTGGGCGGATTATGAGGTCAGGAGTTCGAGACCAGCCTGACCAAGAGACAGGTGAAAACCAGTCTCTACTAAAAATACAAACATTAGCAGGGCGTGGTGACATGCACCTGTAATCCCAGCTACTCAGGAGGCTGAGGCAGGAGAATAGCTTGAACCTGGGAGGTGGAGGTTGCAGTGAGCCGAGACAGAGCCACTACACTCCAGCCTGGGCGACAGACCAAGACTCCATCTCAAAAAATGAAAAAAGAAATACAAATGTTTGTATATTTCAGACACTAGACCCTTATCAAATACATATGATTTTCAAATACTGCTTCTCATTAGATGGGGTGTATTTTCATGTTCCTTATAATGTCTGCCCATCAACAAACAAAATATTTTAATTTTGATTGTGATCTATTTCCTTGTTTCCTTGTGTTTTTGGTATTGTATTTAAGAAAACACTGCCTAATCCAGTTATAAAGATATACACCTAGTTTATCTTCTAAGAGCTTTATATTTTTAGCTTTTTGTTGTTTGGACCATTTGGAGTTAATTATTATAGACTGAAGTATGGTTCCAAATTAATTGTTTTGCATCTGAATATCCAGTTGTCCCAATATCATTTGCGAAAAGACTATTCTCCCTACTGAAATTGATTTTCAACAAGAGTGTCAAGAACAGTGTACAGTTTCATTTCTCAACTTTCAATTATGTCCTATACGTGTGTGTGTGCATGTGTGCGTGTGTGTGTGTGTCTATCTTTATGCCAAGATTACACCATCTTGTCTTCTGTAGTTTTGTAGTAGTGATTTTTGTTTGTTTGTTTGAGACAAAGTTTCTTTTTTGTTGCCCAGGCTGGAGTGCAGTGACACAATCTCGGCTCACTGCAACCTCTGCCTCCCGGGTTCAAGCGATTCTCCTGCCTCAACCTCCAGAGTAGCTGGGATTACAGGCATCTGCCACCACACCCGGCTAATTTTTTTGTATTTTTAGTAAGATGAGATTTCACCGTGTTGGCCAGGCTGGTCTCAAACTCCTAACCTCAGGTGATCCACCTGCCTCGGCCTCCCAAAGTGTTGAAATTACAGGCGTGAGCCACCACTAGGCTGTAGTGAGTTTTGAAATAGGAAAATGTGATTCCTCCAGCTTTGTTCTTCATTTTCAAAATTGCTCCAGATAGAACACCTAACTTCCATTTCTGTATGATTTTAATGCTGTCTTTAGTCCCAAACTCCACATATGCTTTCAATATGTGCAAAATGGGCAACTGGGGATTTTGACTCAGATTGCATTAAATCCATACACCAATTTGGAGAGTATTGACTTCTTAACAATAATAGGTCTTCCAATCCATGAACACAAATGTATTTCTATTCCTTTTTTTAAAATTTGTAATGATGTTTATACTTTTCAGTGTATAAATCTTTTCCTTTTATTAAATTTATTCCCAAATATTTTTATTATTTTGATATTTTAAATGAAATTGTTTTCTTAATTTCATTTTTGGATGTTTCATTGATAGTATATGAATACACAATTTATATTAATCTCATATCCTGCAAACTTGCTGAATTCCTTTATTAGGTGTAATATTGAGAATGTGTGTGTTTATATTCCCTAGAACTTCCAGGAATAATATCATGCAATCTGCAAATAGAGATAACTTGATTTCTTTATTTCAAATCTGGATGCACTTCATTTATTTTATTAATTGCCTTAGCTAAAATGTTCAATACAATGTTGAAAGGAAGTGACAAAAGCACACATCTTTTGTTTCTGCTTTAGAATAAAATGTTCAAATCTTTCTTATTAAGCACAATGTTGTCTGTGGGTTTTGCTTAGATGCACTCTTTTAGGTTGAAGAAGTTCACTACTATTTTTTTTTTTTTTTTTTTTTTTTTTTTATTTTTTAGATGGAGTTTCACTCTTGTTGCCCAGGCTGGAGTGCCATGGTGCAATCTTGGCTCACTGCAACCTCTGCCTCCGGGGTTCCAGCGATTCTCCTGTCTCAACCTCCCGAGTAGCTGGGATTACAGGCATGTGACACCACACCCGGCTAATTTGTATTTTTAGTAGAGACAGGGTTTCTCCATGTTGGTCAGGTTGGTCTCAAACTCCCAACCTCAGGTGATCTGCCCGCCTCAGTCAGCCTCCCAAAGTGCTGGGATTACAGACATGAGCCACCGCGCCCCATCTTACTATTTCTAATTTGTTGAATTTTTTTTAATCACAAAAAGGTGCTGTATTGGCCAAATGCTTTCGCTGTGAAGATTATGTTGTATTTGTCCTTAATTAATATGGTTATTGCAGTTATTCATTTTTATTGTTGAACCAACCTTGCATTTTTGGGATAAACCTCACATCATATTGTATAATCCTTCTGTATCTTGCTAACGCCTTTTGCTAGTATTTTGATAAGGATTTTTAGATTTATGTTCATAAGGGATATTGATCTGTGGTTTTCTTTTTTCTGTTACGTCTGTCTGGTTTTGGTACCACATAATATTGCCCTCATATGTTGAATTAGAAACTGTTCCTTCCTGCCCTATTTTTTTTGAAAGACTTTGTAAAAGATTCGTGTTAATTCCTCTTTTAAATTTTGGTAGTATTCAACAGTACAGCCACCTGGGCTTTTTAATTGATATAGATCTATTTAGATTTTCTATTTCTTCCTGAGTCAGTTTTGGTAGTTTACGTGTTTCAAGAAACTTGCTCATTTCGTGTAGGTTTCCAACTTGTTGGCACACATTTGTCTACGTTTTTCTTTTCTGAATACTTTTATTCTAATAAATTATGTAACAATGTCCACACTTTTTTGATTTAATATTTTGAGCCTTTCTTTCCTCTTTTCTTGGTCACTCTAGATAAAAGTTTCCAAATTTCGTTGACATTTTGAACCAACTTTTGTTTTATTGATTCCCTCTATTGTTTTTCTATTCTCTGTTTAATTTATCTCCACTTTTATCTTTATTAAGTCAATCTTTCTGCATGTTTGGGGGTTAGTTTATTCTTCCTTCCCTAGTTCTAAAGATTAAATGTTTGGTTTGACATTTTTCTTCTCAAGTATAGTTATTTGCAAATACCAGTTTTTCTGTAAGCACTGCTTTTACTGCATCACATACTGTTTTTGTTTTTATTCAGCTCAGTGTTTTAGAAATTTCCCTATGATTTCTCTTTGACCCTCATGTCACTTAGAAGTGTGTTGTTTCATTTCTACAAATTTATGGGTTTCATGAATTTTTTCTGTTATTGTTCCTAATTTTATTACACTGTGGTCTAAGAACACATGTAACAACGCTTTTACATTACTGAGACTTGTTTGATGACTTAACATATGGTGTATCCTAGAGAAACCTTTGTATGCATGTACAAAGAAGAATGTGTTTACTGTTGTCGTCAAGTGGCGTGTTCTACAGATGTCTGTCAGATCCAGTTTATTTATAGCCTTTTTCAAGTCTTCTATTTTCTCGCTCTGTGTCTACTTTTTCCTCCAGTATTGAAAATGGAGTGTTAAAGTCTCAAACTATACCAGTTGAATTATCTATTTCTCCTTATAATTGTGTGAGTTTTCCCTTCTTCTATTTTGGGGTCTGTTTATAGGAGCTTATTTGTTTATAACTGTTTTGTATTGTTATGGATTGACCCTTTTATCATTATAAACTAACTTTCTTGGCCTCTGGTAACAGTTTTTCTCTTAAAGTCTATTTTGCCTCAAATTACTATAATCACTCACGATCACTTTGGATTATTGCATTATATTTCCATAATTTTATTTCATAATTTCATTTTTCCATAATCTTATTTTTAACCTATTTGTGTTTTTAAATCTAAAATGAAATCTCTTTAGGCAGCACAGCATTGAATAATGATGTATGTGAGTGTGTGTGTGTATTTAATTTTTAATCCATTATTTCTATCTTTGCCTTTTAACTGGATTGTTTAATCTATTTACATTTAATATAATTACTAAATAGAAAGAAATTTTGTCTGCCATGATGTTATTTGTTTTCTATTTGTCCTTTGTCTTTATTATTTCTCTATTCTACCAATGTTGTCTTCTTTTATGTTAAATAAACATTTTCTAATATATCATTTTAATTCCTTTGTCATTTCCTTTACTATATTTTTGAGTTATCTTCTCAGTAGTTCCCTGGAGATTATAACTAACATCTTAATTTATACCAATCTAATTTGGATTAGTACCAACTTAATTTCAATAACATAGCAAAAGTTTGCTCCTAAATAGTGCCATTCCTTCCCTCTTCTTTGTGCACTGTTGTCATAGAATGTTCATCTTTATACATTGAATGACCAGCAACTAATATCTATAATTATTGTTTTATACTACTGTATTTAAAATCAGATAGGAGGTTAAAAAAAAGGTCAAATTTTAAATATATATTAAAATCTGTCACTTATATTTACCTATGTAGTTACCTTTACTGGTATTCTTCATTTCTTTATACTGATTAATATTTCTTGTAGTGCAGGTCTGCTAATGACAAATTCTCTCAGTTTAGCTTTTATTTTCCCTGAAAATTTCTTAATTACTTTATTTTTTATGAGTAGATTTGCTTGGTCTAAAATTCCTGGTTGATAGCTTTTTTTCCAACATTTAGACTATGTTGTTTGGACTTCATAGTTTCTCACTATAAATAATCTCTTAATGTTTCTAAGCATCTCTTAGTATGAGAAGAATTGTTTGCTTCTCTCTTGATGTTTTCAATATTTTCTGTCTTAGACAGTTTTATTATAATGTGCCTAGGTATAGATCTTTTAAAATGTATTCTAGTCTGTTAAACTTCTTGGATATATATTTGTTTTTCACCAAATTTGTAACATTTCACTCATTATTTCTTCAACTATACTGTCGACACCTTTGCTTCTTTTTCCTCTCCTTTGAGAACATTTGTTATATTATATCTATGTTGGTATACTTGATGTTTTGCAGTCTTTGAGCCTCTGTTCACTTTCTTTATTCTTTTTTATTTCTTCTCTCAGACTGCATAACCTCATATGAACAATCTTCAAGTTTGCTGATTCTTTCTTCTGCTAGGTTAAATCTTCTGTTGAGCTCCTCTGATAATACTTAATTCAGTTATTGTGCTTCTCAACTTCAGAATTTCTATTTTATAATTTTTAAGTACTTTCAGTTTTTTATTGATAGTCTGTACTTTGTAAGACATTGTATTCATAGTTTCCTTCAGGACTTTAGATACAGTTTCTTTTAGTTCTCTGGACATATTTAAAATAGCTTTGTTTAGTAAGCCCAATGTCTGGGATTAGGATTCCTCAAGGACAGTTTCTGCTGATTTCTTTTCCTCCCCTGTGCATAGGTGATACTTTCTTGATTTTTGTTGTTTGTTTAATGACTTTTCTGAGGTAATTCTATAAGGTCTGAAACCTTTACTATGTTTGGTCACTGACATCTCTCCTTAGCTTAGAGATAAGCTAATGATTGAGCAAATATTTTCTTAAACATCTGAAATGAATCAGCCTTCAAACTTTGCCAGGGTGTGTGTGTGTGTGTGTGTGTGTGTGTGTGTGTGTGTGTGTGTGTGTGTGTGTGTGTATTGCACCATGCCTTCAGCACTCTGCCAGGCAGTTTACAACTCTGCTCTTGACTTCACTTCCTTGTTGCTGAAAGTCTCATGGTTAGCAAAGGGCAAGAACTTAACAGCTTTTTAGGGCCCTTCTGAGCAACTATACAGTAGCAGGCATAAACACATCCCTTACACATATGTATTGCCTTCTAGATTTCCAGGAATATTCCAAAGCTTTTCAAAACCCCTATGAATATCTCACCCCCAGCCTTTCCTTTTCAGCTTTTTGGTTAGCCTATTGTTGGTCCCAATTGTTATACCTCAGGTAACCATAAGGTTGAATATTTGCTGCTGACTATTTTTGATAAATGCCTTAGGGGAAAGTTGTTTGCAACAAGCAAATTCTGAGTCAGGTCAAATAAATGCAGCCTTGTGACTGTGACCTTCCAGGGACCTATCAAATGGGTCCAATAATGACAGTTTAGGGGAATAGGGCTTTGAAGAAGCTGCAGGTCTTTTCTTCTCCCTGACTGTTGGGCTTTCTGGTGTACATTGTTTTTGTAGGCTCTTGGTTTTCAAGGCTACCTTGAAGCTGGGCAGAGGAGTATGGGAAGCTGCCCAGAGGATCTGGGCAGAGAAGGATGGGGCAAATGAAGCCACAGAATTTGCTTATTTTTATCTTTTTCACAAAACTTGTTCTTATAGACATTCAGCCACTTTTTCTTGACTAAATCCTCCAAGACTGCTGTAAGCCTTTGGTTAATTTTCAGAGTTTGGAAAAAGTGGATTCTGTCCATTTTTGCCAGCGTTCTCCTTGCTTTGGTGGAAAAGAGGATTATTGAAGATCCTTATTCTTCCATTTTTGCTAATGTCACCCCTTCTGGTCGCTTTTTAAATGTGTCCTGGCCTGCCAGTTTTGTCTGTCTCCAACTCATCCTTCACATGGATGGCAGATTAATCCCTCTGAAGCCCAGCTGCGACCACATCATCACTTTAGAAACTTTTGATGGATTATACAGCTTCCTTCCTTGATCTGGTATGCATGACTTTCTGCAGCATAGCTGCAGCTCACCTTTCCCTAACTTTGACTTCTACAGTTTCCCTCATACCCTTACCAATTCCTAACTCAATTGAACTACCCATTCTGGTGCCTACTTTCATGTTGTTGTTGTTGTTTTCATAATTTTTCTCCTGTTGTGAGAATGCAGGCTACTGGATGAGACTTGTTCTAATGGACCAGCAGCTCACATGTTTTGTGTGTGAAAAGGATGATTAGCTAATGGATCAAAGTTTGAGAGGTGAGTTAGGGAAAGCTCGTCTGAGCTGTTTGTGAGCCAGCTGCCTTTTCTGATTTATCCTTGCTGAGTCTATGAAGTTGAGCTCTGCTGATTCATCATTTGAGGGATCATGTATGATTAACATCAGCAAGAAACTTTCCACTTGAATTTTATGAAATTCTAGTGTCTCTAGGAAAGGTCTAGTATAAAACTGCAGCATTGTTCCAGGAACATAAGAATTGGATGTAGTCAACCTCCATCCACTTTATAATAGGCACTGTGCTTGGCCTTTGGGTAGTCTGAAAGTAGTATGCAATTTGTTATTTGACTTTGAGGAGTTTACAACCATACCAGGTTAATAGACCTAAAAATGTAACTAAACGCCAGAAAAGATATTAGCAGCATGTAATATGTTAGTATTTTACTACAGCCAGAGGAGAGAGATACCAGAAAAGTCTCATTTGGATGAGAGATTTGAATAGGGCGTTATAGGGTTTAGGAAGACAGAAAACCGGAAGGACTTTCAGAATAGGACATGGTCAAGGGACCTTCATACTTCAATATTTAGCACAAAAGTCTTCTCAAAAGTGCAGATTCTGGGCTGTACCTCTAGTGAGTCTGAGTTAATAAACAGTTGCCAGCACCCGGGAATCTGCATTTTAACAAGCATCTTATTTACTTCCAATGAGATTGAGTTAGGCTGTGACAAAGAAACTGAGGCAGAAGTGTTCATGAGGTATTCAAAATCTGATAAGTGGATTTTTACATTTAATTATAGTATAAGTTTCAAACAAAGTAGTTGTGATTATTAATTATAAGGTTTCTCAACCTCGGCACTATTAACATTCAGGGCCCAATAACTCTGTGTCTTGAGGGGCTGTTCTGTGCATTATATTAGTAGGCTACTTAGCTGTATTAGCAGGCTACTTAGCTGTATTAGCAGGCTACTTAGCTGTATATATACAATTATATATTATATATGATATATACAATTGTATTATATACAATTATATATTATATATGATATATACAATTGTATTATATACACTTATATATTACATATATTATGATTTTTATTGATATATATTTTTTGAGACCGAGTTTCACTCTTGTTGCCCAGCTGGAGTGCAATGACACAATCTCGTCTCACTACAACCTCTGCCTCCTGGGTTCAAGTGATTCTCTTTCCTCAGCCTACCAAGTAGCTGGGGTTACAGGCATGTGCCACCATGCCTGGCTAATTTTGTATTTTTAGTAGAGACGGGGTTTCTCCATGTTGGTCAGGCTGGTCTCGAACTTCCGACCACAAGTGATCCGTCCGCCTCGGCCTCCCAAAGTGTTGGGATTACAGGCGTGAGCTACCGTGCCCAGACAATTTTTTAAATGGTTTTATCTGCAGTTTTCATTCAGCTGCTTTTTCTTTAAAGTTGTTGCATTTACGCCTTTTTAAAATAAATATTTATAACAAAAATGTTTTAATTTTTCTCTTTGGGTTTTCTCAAGTTGGACTCTCTTGATTCTCCACCATTTAGCCTGAATTACTAGGTCCATATAAATGTAACATACTATTTATGTTGATATAACAGAGATGTTTTGTGTTTTTAAAATTTTTTTTTAGAGACAGGGCCTCACTATGTTGCCCAGACTGGAGTGCAGCAGTGCAATTATAACTCACTGTAACCTCAAACTGCTGGTCTCAAGTGAAGCTCCTGCCTCAGCCTCCCAAGTGGCTAGGTCTACAGGCATGCACCACCATGCCTGGCTACGTTTTTAAAACATTGTTATAGGGATGGAGTCTCACTATGCTGCCCAGGCTGGTTACAACGGAGTCTTATTTTCAGGAAATATCACACACTATTTCTCAATCTCCACAAAAATTCTTTGAAGTATGCATAGTATTCTCCCCAATGAGAATGTGTATTCATGTGTGTCTTCTTCATTTTTTTGTAAACCCAATGTAAAACTTGTTCAATCAGTTCTCATTGTCTTGGATACCCATGTAATAAATTATAATATGAGGCTCTGGCTGGGTGTGGTGGCTTATGCCTGTAATCCCAGCACTTTGGGAGGCCGAGGCAGGTGGATCATCTGAAGTCATGAGTTCGAGACCAGCCTAGCTAACATGGAGAAACCCCATCTCTACTAAAAATACAAAAAATTAGCCAGGTGTGTAATCCCAGCTACTAGGGAGGCTGAGGCAGGAGAATGTCTTGAACCCAGGAGGCAGAGGTTACAGTGAGCTGAGATCGCGCCATTGCACTCCAGCTTGGGCAACAAGAGCAAAACTCTGTCTCAAAAAATAAAAAAGAAAAGAAAGAATATGAGGCTCTGGTTCAGTGGTTGGATGGAAAACTGAAAAGAACAATGGAAAGACAGTAGAGAGGCAATGGATTTTCATCTAGCTCTGGCTGGACAAAGTTCAAGACTTCAAGCAAGATACTCTACTGTCTGAAGCACATTTTTCTTGTTTATTAAAAAAAGCATACTTTTATGTATTAAGGGCACGGGTTCTACTTCAATCATGCTTCCATAAAAGATATCCAAAAACTGGCTAGCCATATGTAGAAAGCTGAAACTGGATCCCTTCCTTACACCTTATACAAAAATTAATTCAAGATGGATTAAAGACTTAAATGTTAGACCTAAAACCATTAAAACCCTAGAAGAAAACCTAGGCATTACCATTCAGGACATAGGCATGGGCAAGGACTTCATGTCTAAAACACCAAAAGCAATGGCAACAAAAGCCAAAATTGACAAATGGGATCTAATTAAACTAAAGAGCTTCTGCACAGCAAAAGAAACTACCATCAGAGTGAACAGGCAACCTACAAAATGGGAGAAAATTTTTGCAATCTACTCATCTGACAAAGGGCTAATATCCAGAATCTACAATGAACTCAAACAAATTTACAAGAAAAAAGCAAAGAGCCCCATCAAAAAGTGGGCAAAGGATACGAACAGACACTTCTCAAAAGAAGACATTTATGCAGGCAAAAGACACATGAAAAAATGCTCATCTTCACTGGCCATCAGAGAAATGCAAATCAAAACCATAATGAGATACCATCTCACACCGGTTAGAATGGCAATCATTAAAAAGTCGGGAAACAACAGGTGCTGGAGAGGATGTGGAGAAACAGGAACACTTTTACACTGTTGGTGGGACTGTAAACTAGTTCAACCATTGTGGAAGTCAGTGTGGCTATTCCTCAGGGATCTAGAGTTAGAAATACCATTTGACCCAGCAATCCCATTACTGGGTATATACCCAAAGGATTATAAATCATGCTGCTATAAAGACACATGCATATGTATGTTTATTGCGGCACTACTCATAATAGCAAAGACTTGGAACCAACCCAAATGTCCAACAATGATAGACTGGATTAAGAAAATGTGGCATATATACACCATGGAATACTATGCAGCCATAAAAAATGATGAGTTCATGTCCTTTGTAGGGACATGGATGAAGCTGGAAACCGCCATTCTCAGCAAACTGTCCGCATGTTCTCACTCATAGGTGGGAATTGAATAATGAGAACAACTTGGACACAGGAAGGGGAACATCACACACCAGGGCCTGTTGTGGGGTCGGGGGAGGGGGGAGGGAGAGCATTGGGAATATACCTAATGTTAAATGACAAGTTAATGGGTGCAGCACACCAACATGGCACACGTATACATATGTAACTAACCTGCATGTTGTGCACATGTACCCTAAAATTTAAAGTATAATTAAAAAATTTAAAAAAAAAGATATCCAAAAGCTATTACTTGAAGGAATGAATCAGCAAATGATTGATTTCACCAGATGCCTGCTAATGCCCTCCTAGCACAAACATTCTAGGATCCTGTGAATTAAAGATTTTCACTACCAGCTAGTGTTCTGAATTCTCCACCTGTGACGGCAACTGTACATTCTTTCTCAAGGAATTTGCAATTAGATACTGTCTTCAGCAGCATTAATTTCTTCTTTTTTCCCTGGAGGATCCCATAAGCAGACAAATGTGCTCTACTCTCTGCTACCTTAAAGCAAACCAACACAACAGAAAATAAAATTTTGACTTCAGATCCTTTATACCTGCAGCCCATGTTTCTTCTCTCTACTCACAGAAGAGTTTCTCTGGCCAATATCCTCCTTCTTTGAAACCCATGCCAATAAAACTTTTCTCACAATCACTTTGCTGAAACCAAGTATCTTTATATTATACAATTTAAAAGTCACTTCTCAGTCCTTCTTTTTCTGGACGATTTTGTAGCATTTGCAAGTAGACTGCTTTGTTATTTTGAAATACCACTTCTCTGGGATTATGGAACAGCAACCACTATTCTAGTTTTCCTCCTTCCTCACCGGCTGCTTTCGTTACCTCTTGTCCTTGGCTTAACCTCTGAATACTGCAGTGCCCCCTAGCTTGGTCCATAGCCATCTGTTCTTCCCTATATGTAGTCTCTTCCAAGGTGAGTTAATGAGTTGATCATGTCTCATCATCTTTTATTTTTTTAGAGACAGGGCCTTCTAATGTCTGAGTTTCCCCAACTTGTATTTCTAGATGCATTCTCTGATTAGAGTCCTAGATCTATATGCCCATTGCGTATCTGACATCTGAATAGATGCGGAATAAGTACTCCAAGATTAACATGAACACATTGAAGTCCCCGATTTTTTCACCCAGATACAGTTTTCTTCAAGTCTTTCCCATGCAATTGCTTAATTAGGAAATCAAAGATATGTTCATGGCCAGGTGCGGTGGCTCATGCCTGTAATCCCAGCACTTTGGGAGGCTGAGGTGGGCGGATCACCTGAGATTGGGAGTTTGAGACCACCCTGACCAACATGGAGAAACCCTGTCTCTACTAAAAACACAAAATTAGCCAGGCGTGGTGGTGCATGCCTGTAATCCCAGTTACTCAGGAGGCTGAGGCAGGAGAATCACTTGAACCCAAGAGGCGGAGGTTGCGGTGAGCCGAGATCGCACCATTGCACTCCAGCCTGGGCAACAAGAGTGAAAGTCCATCTCAAAAGAAAAAAAAAAAAGATGTGTTCATGAGTCCTCCATTTGGCTCTGTCTACTGCTAATCAGCCAGAAAGACTGTTTTTTCCCCCATCCATTTCTATAGAAATTAAGCAAAAAAAAAACAAAAGAATATATGAAACAGTATTCTCTTTAAAAATATTTTTTCACTCTAAGGTCAAAGACATATACAGCAATTAAAATCTGAACTTCACTCTGTTGAACTGAGAGTTACTGTGGAATACACCCAGAGTGAAAATATATTCCTCAGTGGTTCAAATGCCAGATGACAACATGAAAAGCCGACACCCAACATCGCTGACAAGACAGTGACATATAGAAACATTGCAGGGGATGGGGCGGCAGGTGGGATGAGGCAGGTAAGTGTGAATGATGATACCAAATATATTCAGAAAGGTGGTTCTTAGAGAAGAAGTTTTTATATTAAATTTGCTTGAAGATTATGCTACTATTAAGTTGTAACAAATGTACCTTAGGTATTACAAAGTATCAAAGGTGCTATATTTCACCAATGCCAATAACAGTCTCTAAGTCTATTATTCTAGATTTTTACAAATAATACCCATATTTAATCAATTGTTAACTACATAGTTAACTTGGTGATTATAATCAACTCACAGACCACAGTTTGCATGACAAGTTCCTGGTTGAGGGAAATGTGATCTCAATTATTTCAGAGCTCCTAGGGCAAGAACAGGATTCAATAAAAATGGGTTATGGAATTCTGCTGCACAAACTGTGTTGGGTATCTTCAGGTTTAGATTTGTTCCTTCTAGCTTCTGCTTTTTGTAAATGACAATCATATATTTTTGTAGGCACTGACTCCTTTTTATAATTACAATTCCATCTCACTAAGGGTAATCCTTATTCCTCACAACTTCCCTTGCATGTAACACTTAACATAGAAAGGAATTACACAGTAAACAAAAGATGGCGATAATGACAAAAAGAAGGTGGCTTTGAATGCAATAACAGAAGCCAGTGAAAGTGTCTTCCTTCCTGACACAGTTGGCAGATTCCAGTGATCTGCTGCTGTCACTTGGCTAGAGATTGATGTTCAATACATTTTAAACTCAGTAAGCGTCTTGCTGCTAGTAATTGGATCCCATTGATTTTTAATGAGTATAATTGTCTCAGGGGTCACTGAAGCTACTTTGTTTCATTCCTCACTATGTATGTTAGCTTGGTTGTTAATGAGGTGAGCAGGAAAAGGGTTAACCAAAAGATAACACTAGTTAGCCCCAAATTGAAAGGCAATAGAGTTGGGGAAAAGTGGAGGGAAAAATCTCTGGCAGAACAATGACTAATAATGGCAAACAATTTATTTGCTTCAAAGCTCATTGCAAAGGGCAATCATTGTTTCAAAAACAAAAGCTGTTGAATTATAATTGGGAGTAATTGAAACTCACCAAAATATTGAATAAAACATTAGATATTTTAACCGGTGTTATCTTTATAATTATCTTCAGAAGTAATAGCAGTGCAGACCATGAGCTGCTGTGAGACTCACCCAAATCCCAGTGTCTTTGGCAGTCATTTTTGCCAAGTGTTTATTAGCAAGAGCCATGGCTAAGTGGACACCAGGTTCAACTGGTTGTCTCCGCATGGCACATCCTAAATGCACTACTGGGAAAAACCCAGTACAGATTCTGTCTCCAACAGAGTGGGCTTTGTGAATGCAACAAAGAAGTGCACCAGGCTGTGTGTCCTGCAACAGCTTCCATGGGCTCTGAGCAGTATTTTCACAAGCCATTATGATGTCACTCAGCATGCCATCTCCTGCAGCACAGCCTGGGCAGGGGCTATTATCTGCTATTTTCCAGCTGTCAACCTCACCATGTCTGCTGTCACATCATCTGTCCAACGGATTCCGACTTTGTGGCACATTCTCTCCTTCCACTTCTTGCCCTGCACCCATAGACAGGCTCTTCTTGTAGCCCATCTGCCGATGACACCAAACTGACAGCCAGAGTGGAATGAGGGCAGGAAGCTTAGGTGGCTGAGACTGGAAGGTCTTAGTCTGGCAGAGCATGAAGTCAGCCACAGATCACACAAAGATGGCAATGGCAGAATGCACAAGAAAGCTTTCTGTCCCCTCATTATCCTGTGAGAAATGATGGCAGGCATATGCCTTACTCTATGGCAGTGCTCCTAGGACCTAACCCAGTGTCTGTTTGATAGATGAGTAATACCAGCTTGTTAAATAAACCTAATGAAAGAGTCTATACAGCATAATGCTGTGATTGACAGCTAGAGCTCAGGAGTCAGACAGGGCTAGGTTCAAATCTTGCCTCCACTTGAATCCTAGTTGTGCCAGTAAGATAGGCTGAATAAACTTGGACAAGTACTTAACTGCTGTGCACCTCATTTTCACCATCTGTAAAATGGGAATAACAACAGCCCCAACTCATCCATGAATTAATGTAAGAAAACCACAGAAAACAGAGCCTGGCACACAGTGAGCCATCCACAAGAACCCAGGGAGATCACCATCATCTTACATGGCCACGGTCGGTTTCCAAAGGGCATGTAGAGTAGCCAAGGTGTCTCCTTCATGGCATACTGAACACTGAGCTGAAAGCATTCCTTACAACCAAACCTGTTGATGTCTTAAGAAAACAAGCTCAGAACATTGTTTAGACTTTTGCAACAATTCCCTGCCTGGGGTGAGCTGGGCTAGTCAAGGGAAACCCCTGAAGGCTCCCTTGCTTCTCAGCTTGAGAGTTAGACTAGAGTCAAGTTGAGGAGCCCATTGTGGCTTTGTCCCCTGGACATTACTCCTCTAAAGGTAAAAGAAGAGAGTGAGCAAGAACAGAGGAGGAAAAGAAGCTTTCTCCCCTACCGCCTGTAACCATCTGACTAGTCACCTGCCCAGGGCTTCCTGTCTACCAGTACCACCTTCACCCAGGAGGCCTTCCCCAGTATGCCAGCTGTGTGAGAAGGACCTTGCCCCTTTTGCTGAACAGGGACCAAAAAGATCCAGAAAGCAGCCAGGATCTGGTCACAATGCCTTTATCCCTCTAACTAAAAGCCCTCAACTCCATTATCACAATCTAATCGTGTGGTTCCCAAAGTCACCATTTTTTAGTTTGACTCGTGAGAATATTTTTCCCACCAGACAAGTGGAGGAAAAGAGCTCCCCCTCCAATGTTAGTGAGTATATGGGATTGGGGTAAGGAAGGCACAAGGGGTTTGGCTAATGTTTGATGTTGGGAAGACCTTGGGAGGCTACCCAAGCTGAGCTGCTTGAGAAAAGAGATTAGGAGGGAGGGCTGGTTCTGATGCCTGGCCGACTATGAAAAGCGTGACACTTATGAAAACGGGTAAGCTATTTGAATCTGGGGGGCAAAGTCAAGGTCAAAATATTAAAGCTTGATTGGAGATACAGCTCACGCATGAAAGCTGGCACTGGGTCAGCTCAGATGTGGTCCAGATGCGGTCAGAAGCCTGATAAGTTTAGAGGCTTGTGACTTTCACTTCAGGCTGCATCTGATTGGACAAGATGTATGGCCATGGTGGAAGGATGTAATAACGTAATCTTACATAGGATTTCTTAAAGGCAGTTCTGGACACTGTATACCTGGAGAGATAATTCACTAAAAATAAATAATGCCATCAGAAGAAGAAACATTAAGGAAAGTGCCAACTATGATCTTGGAAGGATAGCAAAGGCACATTCATTTTCTGGCTTCTCAATGGCTTATAAAATAGAGCAGAAAGTAAAAAATCATGTCTCGGTCTCTCTTGTGCTCACTCATTCTCCGATAAAAAGATTTATGGAATCACTTTGATTCTTAGAGTCCTTTCAAGATTGGTAAGCTTGATTGTAAACCTGCTCTTTAGCAAGAGAGGGTCATGTGATGAAAAAAATAACATTCTCCCTTCAGTCCACTTTTCCTCCCTGTCCAGCTTTAGGTGTGGCACCTCTCGAATAAAAATTAGAGGCATTGTCTGCTGTCCAGCAAGCAGACTGAGTGTGGGCAGGAGTTCTGGACCCTAGGAGAATTTCCATGCTATGATCAGGCTGAGTAAGTCCACATTTCTGGATACAGAAGATTAGGAGGAATTGGAAAGGCCCCTGAATAGGACAGCACGTGTCTCAGTTGAGGAGGAAAGCATTCACAGGGAGAACAGCAGCCAGTTATTGCTGCAAGGTGGGTCAGCCCTAGAGAGCCTCACTTTATCTTATTTACAGAAAAAGAAAGTGTGCAGCTTTTATTTATTTCTAAGTAAATTCCAATGAATGGCTGATACTCATTCAGACTTGCAAAGAGAGGATCTCAGATCTGCCACTGGAATCAGCTTTGTGTTCTGGGCTCATTTTCCCAAGATATTCAACACAAGCTAAAACTCACAGCAGCCACCTGCAAGTTCTGCAAGGGCTGGGCCCAGCCTGGCTCATTCTAGAGGGATGAAATCAGGCTCTGTGACATGCTCATTTCAAGCTCCTTACAATAAAAAAATAAATAAAAATCAAGCATCCTCTCTCCCTGAACTCCTCCAGCTAAAAGGCAGCTAACACTTCTGCAAGACCACATGTCATCCAGATGTGGAGTCTCTTTCTAAGCTGCAATGGCCGGCTCAGTAAATGGCAGAAAATCAGGAAGAGTTGCAAGAAGTCACCCCAGGGAGGGGAAAGAATGTTCCATGGAGAGGGATGGAGTGTTGGGGCTCGGCACAAGGAGAGGGCTCAACATCAGCAAGAACTGTTGAGTGGTTTGACTTTGCTTCCTCTGAGAACTGCTTCCAAGGCACATCACAGCTGGTGAGACCCTCTGGGTATTGGCTCCATATGCTATTTACCACTATGCAGTCTTGGCAGACTTGGAGTTTCTCACATGCATGCTGCCTTCAAGTACTTGAAGTAGATTCAAGTTGAATAAGAATTCAGCCAGAAGTCAGACCAGAACGCATGGGTGAGAGCTATGGAGAGGAGAACTTGGGCTCACTTGAAGTGACTTATTTGCCCACAAAGGGTTAACCAGAGAGTCATGTTGGCTAAGGAGGAAGAGCAGCATTGTCTTGTAATCAGAGTATAATTTTTAAAAAACTTTCTTTACACTGTCGTGTCTACCTCTTATTGACAACACCGGTTTGCAAAACTGGTTGCTGGGAAAAAGGTGAATTAATTCTCATAAAGAGTTCAGCACCTTCTTGGAGGAGAGGATCCATTATCCCACACTTCTTCCTGGAATTTGAAGCAAGAATACACATTGGAGTGGACCATGCAGATAATAGAAAAAGGACTCCAAAAATACTATGCTGAGAAAGAGAGTCTAGGCTGGTGATCTAGGTTCAAGGCAAGGTCCTCAAAATAGGTGGAAAATGCTGTTGCTGGCAGCTGTGACTATTGTTGAAAGGTACTAGACAGAACCCTCAGAACCCAACTGGGCACACCCCTGTGCTCTGGAATCAATGTTTTCACATGGGATTGCATCTGAAAAGAAGTGAAGTAGGAAGCACCCTAGAAAAAGGAATGGTCTTCACAAAGACTGTGTCCTGGAGCCAAGACGTTTTTTGAAACCGTATTAATAATTTAAGCTTTTCAAAATGTTAGAACAATTGTGCCAGTTTATAAGCGCTAACACACATTGGGCTCTTCCCAAGAATGGCAACATAGTTTGCAGGAACCAGTGAAAAAAGGAAAATGCAGGGCCCCTTGTTCAAAAATTATTAAGCATTTTAGAGACAAAGACAGCAGAGCACTAAACAAAACCAAATACAGTGCCTTTCTGTGTGACTGGCACTGATTCAGATACTATTCCAAGTGGTTCTCATGCAATAGGCAACTAAAACTACCCAAAACATCCCTAGGAGGTGAGAGCTATTATTATCTCTAATTCAAAATGAAACCCAGAGGCACTTGCCAAGGGATATCAGTCAATAGACGGTGGAGCCCAGATTGGCACTTGTACAATCCATCCTCCAGAGCAGCACTCCAACTCTTAATCCCTGAACCCATGGACCCTGAGAGAGACGAGGAGCCACCCAATCAAAGACATTATACGTAAGAACAGAATGAGCCCACCCTAAAAAGAATAATGTTCCTGTCTCTGGAGGTATCCAAAGTGAAGCTGGGAAGCCAGTCTCAGAAATTTAAAAGAGGTGATGCATTTTCTGGGAAATAAATAATGTAAGGAAAAGTGGAGTCCATTATTTATTGAATGAACCATAGCCACGATTGAGACTTTACTGTGCATTAAGAGTCATGCAGTCAGTGTGAAAAATTAAGATTCTTGGTACATGGAGACGAGGGAATCTGAATCTTTAACATCTACAGATTCTGATTTGGTTGGCCAACAGGTCAGGGTTAGAGAAATAGTCACATCTGTAAGAGGTAATTTTCAATTTCTCTTCCAATTCTAAGTTTTTTGTTTTCCTTTATTTCTGTGAAATGATTGCATGTTGAAAACACCACTGCTGTTTGTCTCTCTCTCTCTCTCTCTCTCTCTCTGTCTCTCTCTGCCTCATTTTTTTTTTATTATACTTTAAGTTCTAGGGTACATGTGCACAACGTGCAGGTTTGTTACATATGTATACATGCACCATGTTGGTGTGCTGCACCCCTTAACTCATCATTTACATTAGGTATATCTATTTATCTCTTCTCCCTTTTGTCCAGATCACGCAATCCATCCCCACCACCAAGCAAGGGTCTGCTTTTCTACTCTTTATCATCACGCACTTTGTCTTAGTTCCAGCTGCTGTAATAGAATACTATGCACTGGGCAGCTTCAACAACAAACATTTATTACTCACAGTTCTGGAACCTGAGAAAATTAAGGTGCTAGCAGTTCCAGTTTCTGGTGGGAACACTCTTCCTGGTTTATGGATAGTGATCTTCCCTACTAATATTAGAGTTATGTATGTGTGCTCTGTCACCCTAAGTTGTGAATGCCTGGAAGGGGATCTCATATTCATCAGCTTTGCAAGGGTCTAGTTGTAGCCAGCGTTTTGAATATAAAAGAGGACCAATATAATTTTGTCCATATATACATCTGGATATTAACTTTGGGAGACAAGATGACCAGGTGAGCCCTACATTCTAAGATTTCCCATGACTAGTCTGGCAGTATGACCTTCAGAACAGCCACTATAGCAGTGTCTATAAATATGAAGTGAAAAGAGAGAAGAGAATTAGTTTTGCTGATAATTAAGCTCAGAAATACATGTGCATCAATTATTCAGTTTCCACAAGTCCTCATTAATAGAGGTTTCTCAAGTGCAGACAGAATAATAATTCACATGAGGACTGGCCTCAAGTTTATTTTTTCCCGTTCAGTAAAAGAAAAATAAAGTGGTAGGGAGGGGGGTCAATAGTAAGAGACTGGTTAAGCAAATTAAAAGTGAAAGTGAAACAACTGGCTATGCATAACAGAGTATTTACCATTTTAACAGGGCCCATAAAAGAAAGGCACGATCTACAAGTGACCTTACTCTAACTCTCATATTTGTATTTCATATATATCCAAAAAAAACAAAGGATCTGAGATAGTTGAGACCCAGAAGCCTATAATTTATCTTCATTTGCCACTGGCTCAAATTGCTGCAATTAATAGTAGACATTAATTTTTTCACTGATTTGTATTTTTTTTTTTTTTTTTTTTTTTTTTTTTTTTGAGATGGAGTCTCTCTCCATCAACCAGGCTGGAGTGCAGTGGCGCGATCTCGGCTCACTGCAACCTCTGCCTACCAGGTTCAAGCGATTCTCCCGCCTCAGCCTCCCGAGTAGCTGGGATTACAGGCGTCCAACACCGCACCCGGCTAATTTTTGTATTTTTAGTAGAGATGGGGTTTCACCATGTTGGCCAGGATAGTTTCCAACTCCTGACCACAGGTGATCTGCTCACCTCGGCCTCCCAAAGTGCTGGGATTACAGGCGTGAGTCACTGCGCCCAGGCTGATTTGTACATTTTTAAAAGACAGCTCAATAACTGAGGTTTTATTGTGTTTTTATAATACATTCTTGGGGATCTGGGTTACACAAGTTTACATTCATCTCACTCCTTCATTTTATGAGTTATCCATTTAAGCTTAGGTCTTCCTATAAATTATTTTTAAAAAGGAATTGTCTGATTCCCTTACAAATCTGGTTGGGTAGGAGACTATGACTGTACTTAGTAGAAATGTGTATAGTCTACGATGCTACATTCTGGTGGAGACATCGGAAAAGATAACTCTCACATCCTTATATATTGGTAAAAGCACCGAGTAAAGAAATTTGGCAATGTCTGCCCAAATCTAATTCAAAGTCTGCATAGTCTAAGACTCAGCAATTCCTCCTCTAGTTATTTCCTAGGAGGAACCCTTGCACGGGTACACATGTGGGATACGTGAATAGCCGTAGTCACTAAGCATTGCAGCAATCAGTGAAGTCTTGGTTACAACACAGAGGACCTGGACAGGGCAATGCCACGCTCAGATGAAGGAATACTCTACAGCAGCTAAAAGGAATGGATTTGACCTACATGAGGTAAACAAAGATAGGCCTTAAAAACATAATGTTCCAAGAAAAAGGCAAGTTGAGGAACAGTAGTTAACACAGTTAAATGATTGGGTAAGGAACACCATTAGTGTACATTAGAAAAAATTTTTAAAACACTTTAGAAAACAAATGATACATTGCTTATGGAGATGTATACAACATATAGGAGGTAAGCATGTAAAAGCATGACTAACCCAAATATACTGCACATCAGCTTCAAGGTAATGGTTGCTGCTGGGGAGAGGGAGAGGAGAACGAAAGTGGAGAAGAGAAGGCTTCTGTCGCACCTGCCATGCTTTATTTGAAAAATTAGGCAAATGAATAAATGAAACTTATCCTTGACATGTGGTATAGAAAGTAATTCTTTCAAACTCTGAACATGGTTCAAGCTTCTTAATTGGAAACAGACTGTAGGTAGCAAAAGTTACCTCCATGAACCCTACTTTTCTAAGCTTATTACTGAAGCTTGTGGTCGAGATTGGTGATTCCTTGTAAAATTTCAGAGAGCTGATGATAGAGCACCTTTGCTTCAGGATGTTAGGGACATAATTGGGAAGGAGGGCTAGGGGAGTGGTGTGAATGAGGGCAAATTGGGGCAAAAAGGAGTATTTATTGAATATCTTGTCTGAAAAATGATTTATAAGATTTAGGGAAATAATGCAACTGCATAATTGAGCAATGCATGTAAATGCAATCAAAATGCATCCATGTGAGTGTGTGTTATATGTGCTCGCATGCGCGCACGTGCACGTGCGCACACACACACACACACACACACACACACAGACCACAAACCTGTCCAAAAGCACTAAGACAGAAATCCAAAAAAGCAGAAGAAACTTTTTCTCCTGACTTTTGATCCAGGCTAACTGAAGCATCCCTAAAGAAATCAACCCAAACCACACCCAGATTCCAGGGCCTTCAGACTGGTATGCAACTGCATGGTAAATAGCCAGAGACATAAAATATTTGCTGATTGTCTTCCAGCCTCTGCTACGGGACACTGGGTAGCAAAGACCCCAAACAATGTCTGCAAGTTGGGAATTTAATCTAAATATGAAGCCTGTCTACAAGAGAATCGCCTGGGGAATGTGTTCTGTTCAGCAGGCAGATTCCAAAGCCCTACCCCAGAATTCCTAAGGCAGACACTTTAGGGTGGCGCTGGAGACTCACTTGGTTGACAAGCTCCCCGGTGACACTGATGCATACTAAAGCTTGAACACCGCTGCATATCACAATCGTGAGCCAATGGTATCAGGAGGCACAGCCTTCCAGAAAGGACGTGTGATATCTCCTTAAATATACAGTGAAGGCTAACTGGAGCCACAGTCTCAGGATATATTAATAATGAGTGACGTTTCCTTAGTCATTTCATCAAGGGGAGGGTGGCCTTGGAACTGTAGATGTGTTCTCATAGACACTCCTTTGGGTCTTTACTTACTAAACAATACTGGACTGGGCAAGGCTCTGAGGACATAAAGGGAATTATCTGGCCAGTGGCACTGGAAGACAGAAAATGAAATTCTCACTAAGTCTGAAGGCTGGTCAGAGGCCAGGCCGGAGCACACCACCCACGCAGGACCAGGAGGGCCTTACCTCCTGCCCTCCCCACAGCCTCCTGGCATTCTCTGAAAGGTTTTCCCTGCACAGCAGTCCCTCCATTATGAGCCCTGGGACTCAAGAAGCTACAAAGCGATAAATCAATTATGAAATGGAAACCTCGATTACAGCCTGTCTGCTTAATTGTTTGACAAGTTAATTAATCTCCCAAGCAACTGGGCTCCATTCTCCCTGTAAATTGTGGGGAAATCGCAATAGCAGGTCCCTGAGGTCTTGGCAGTACAGTATCAATGAGGCTCCGGGAAAACTATGAATAATAAGCATTTAGTGGGGTCAGTGCCTCACCATAGGAATGAAGAGGTTTGCTCCAGCTCCTGCCTGGAGGCAGTTTTGTCACTAATTATTTTGCTACTAACTAATTACAATCTGTACTTGTCTGTGTATTTATTTATTTGTTTTCATTTTCTTTCCAAGAGACACATTTCTTTCCTTTCAAATAATATCATGTGATTCCAGCAGCCAACGCTTCCAGATTGTTAAAAACACCAAGGTGGTGTCAGTCCCTCCCTCCCAGGAGGCTGGACTATTGTAGCTGCCATGATAAATGAGGCTGAACCTTCTGAGTGATGAAGATGGATATGTGTTATGGGTCTATCTGTCTGGCTGCATGAGGTGGCTGCTACTGTCTGAGACTTGTGATGATGTCATACTCTCCTGTCATCAGTGTTCAAGCTTTAGAAATTCCAAATGATGAAGAGAAATTGAGAAACCAAAGCATGTCCATGTAGTCCAAGAGTTCTGTGCATTAGACTCACTTGGAGATCTTGTTAAAAACTGAAAGGACAAGTCCAAATAGATAGATAGATCTCTCTCTCTATATATATATGTGTGTGCATGTGTATATATAGGTCTGTCTCTATAGAGATACCTATCTACAGAGAGATATATATCTGTAGAGATATCTATAAAGACATATCTATATATAATCTACATATAGATATATATAGATAGCGCTCTCTATAGATAGATATATAGAGAGCAATATCTAACTACCTACCTACCTACCTCTGAGAGACAGAGTGTGTGTAATACATCACAACGACATAGAGTTCATCTCAGGAATGCAAGGCTAAATCAGTATTCTAAAACCCATCAATGTAATCCACCATCTGAATACTTTAAAAAATATAAGCCACATGATCATATCATTTGATGCTGAAAAAGCATAACATTGTTGATAAAATTCAATGTTCACTCATGAAAAAATCTCTAACCAAATTAGCAATAGAAGGAAACTTCCTCAACCCAGTAAAATATATTTACACAAAACTTATAACTCTTCATACTTAACGGTGAAAGACAAAATACTTTCTAAGATTTAGGAAAAGAAAAGAATTTCTAAATTCACTGCTCCTATTCAACACAGTAGTAACATTTGTAGCCAATGCAATATGGCAAAAATAAAATAAAATAAAATAAAATAAAATGCATACAGATTGGAAAGGAATGAATAAAACTGTCCCTATTTTAATCTGACATTTGCCAATGCAGAAAATTCAAAGGGATCTCAAAAAAATCTCTCAAAACTAATAAGTGAGTTTATTAAGGTCACAGGTTACAGGGTCAGCAAACAAAAATCAATCATGATCCTGTATACCGGCAATATAGAATTGGAAACCAAAACTTAAAAAAAAATAGTTTCAGAAAATAAAACGTTTTCTACAATATTCCAGAAAAAATGAAACAAGACATATACAAGATCCATATCATAAAAATGACAAAACACTGCTGAGAAAAATCAAAGAAAATCTAAATGAATGGAGAGTTATGCCATGTTCACTGACTGGAAAACTCAAAATAGTAAATATGCTAATTCTTTGCAAATTAATCTATAGGTTTAATGCAATCTCTGTCAAAATTCTAGCAAAATATCTTTGTGGATATAGAGAAGAAAATTTACATGGAAGGCAAAAATCTACTATAGCTAAAACAATTTTGAAAAAAAGAATAAAGTTGGAGAAATTATATCATCCAATTTTAAGACGTAATGTAAAGCTACAGTAATCAAGCGAGTATGGTATCGGCAAAGGGATAGGCATCCAGACCAATGGAATGGAATAGAGAATATAGGAATATATCTATGCAAATATAACTAATTTATTTTTGGCAAAGATGCAAAAGGATTTCAATAGAGAGATAATAGTTTCTTCTTTGTTGATTTGTTTTTCAACAAATGAACTGCAACAGTTGCACACTGTATGCAAAAAGGTCTTTTTTAAATGCCCTTCAACCTAAACTTCATGCCTTAAATAGATCATTCATCAAAAAACAAAACATAAATGTATAAAACTTTCAGAGGAAACACAAGGGAAACCTTCATGACCTGAGGTTAGGCAAAGAGTTCTTAGATATGACACAAAAAGCACAATCTGTTAAAGAAAAAATAGTTATTATCAAAATTTTTCAAATCCTGCTCTGTGAAAGACAGTGTTAAGATAATTAGAAGAAAAACCACAGACTTGCAGCAAATATTTGCAAATTGTGTATTGGACAAAGAGCTTGTAACTAGAATACATAAAGAACTCTGAAAACTCAGTGCACATTTTTTAATGGGTAAAAGACAAACACGGACTGCTTCAAAGATTACTTAAGGATGACATAAGGACATAAAAATATTTTCTACATCTTTAACCATAAGGAAAATGCCAATTAAAATTACAAGATGCCCCTGCATACCTACTAGAATTGTTAATATAAAAATAAAATATCAAGATCTGGGGAGGATATGGAGCAACTAGAATTCTCATACCTTGCTGCTGTGAATGAAAAATAGTATAGTCAGTCTGAAAATCAGTTTATCTGTTTCTTATAAAGTAAAACACACAATTACCATATGACTCTAGAGAAAAGAAAAAGCTTGTATTCATACACACAAAAGAATCTTGTGCCAGATATCTATAGAAGCTCTATTCATAAGCACCCCAAATTGGAAACCATCCAAATGCCCTTCAGTGAATGAATGGTTAAACAAATGCTATGCATTCCTGCAATGGAATACTACTTAGCAATAAAAGGGAACAAATCATTCATACTTGGATGACCCTCAAAGACTGAATGTAAAAATTCAGTCTCAAAAGATTATAGACATTGTGATCACATTTATATGACATCCTCGAACAAACACAACTACAGTGACGGAGAACATACCAGTGGTTGCCTGGGGCTGGGTTTGGGGGAGTGTGCGAGTACAAGGGGATAGCACAAAGAAATTTTTTTGAGGTGATGGAACTATATTCTGACTGTGGAGGTGGTTACCCAAATCTATACATGTGTTAAAATTTTTGGAATATACACTAAAAAAGCCCATTTTCCTGTATAGTTATTTACACACCAAATTTTTTAATCTATATAGGAAATAGTAGAAAAAGAAAAAGCTAAGTCAGAAAGAGGAAAGAAAACTGCATGTGCAATGTCTTGGGTTCTTTCTTGGCAGCACTGGAAAATTAATAACTCTTCCTCAGTTCTCAGCACCTGGCCCGGCACCTGGTTGTGGCAATCTAGCTTCTGTTCTGGCTTCTCACATTGGAGACACCTGGATCAGAGACTTCAGACCATCTGGACAAAGGCTTTCTATTGGGCTCCACCCAGTTTCACCTATAATTTGAATATGTGTCCCCTCTAAAACTCATTCTGAAATTTAATCCTCAGTGTGTCAGCATCAAGAAATGGAGCCTTTAAGAGGTAATTGTGTCAATGAGGGTTCTGCTCTCATTAATAGATTCATAGATTAATGAATTAGTGGTTCATCATGAGTGTGAGGTTGGTGACTTTCTAGGAAGAGGAAGAGAGATTTGAGTCAGGCCACTCAGCTCTCTCACCATGCGATTGCCCTGCAACACCTTGGAACTCTGCAGAGAGTCCCCAGCAGGAAGGTCTCACCTGAGGTGAACCTTCGACCTTGGACTTCTCAGCCTCCAGAATGGTAAGACATAAATGTTGTTCTTTATATATTGCCCAGTTTTAGATACTCTGTAACAGAGTGTTAGGCAACAGAAAATGAAGACAGCTTTTTACCCTCACTGTCCATTAGCCTTCAAGGTTTGCTTTGCTGATCTTCCCATCTATAAACTAAATCCTAAATCAAAGACCAATAGTGATCAGCCCTAGTAGAATATTAGAATGACAGGTGATATTTAAAAATATCAGTACCTTACGGTTTCATCTCTTTGAATGAGCCCTTGGTGCCCTCATTTTTTAAGCCTTTCCCAGGAAAGCCTAACGTGAAAACGACTATGAAACAATGAAGATGATCTAGGTTGCTTCTCTGAGGTTTAGTAGAAACCCTCAGACTATGACCTCCAAAGTGCTGATGGGTGATGAACACTAGGCACAAAGAAAGGCTGCAGATCTAGTTCAGCTCTAAGCCCGCCTGAGGCAAGGACTGTGGATCCAGGGACTGGAGGAGGCAGAGGAGGCAAGGTTTCACAAAGTTTCATGGGTGGTGCAGGGCATGCTCCTCTCTGGTTTCAGAGGTCATGGGGTGGGGGGGAAATAAAGAACATATTTGCAATAACTGAACAATTCTTTATGATCTGAGACTTTCCATGTGCTCTTTCTCACTGAATCCTTACAACATTCCTGTAGAAGAATGGCAACCATCAAATCAAGAAATTGGCCCAAAGCCCTACAGTCTGCAAACGTAAGTGATAAAACTAGGATTTTAGCAGCTAATAGTCTTAACCACTCCTCATTCTGAATCCAGTGAAAGTAACACAGGATTTATAATTACATGGATTTGGAATCAAATTGTCTTTCTAGCACTTACTAGGTAGATGACTGTGGGCAATTAAATCTGATTTCTCTGAGCCTCAGTTTCCTAATCTGAGAAAATGGGGATAATAACTGTCATTTAGAAAAAAAATAAATAAAAGAGTTACACAATAGAAATGTCATTCAATAAGTGATTCCTCCTGCCTCATGTTCTAAGACATAATCCTGCCTTCCCACAGATCATAACAATTCATCCTGAAGTTTCTCCATGAATTGTGATGCTTTGCTACATCATTCTGCAATCCCAGAAGATTTTTTGCATATTTTTTTGCTATTACAGAAAAATCTCAGTCTCCCTCCCTCTCTCTCTCTCTCAATCTGTGTGTCTCTTTTACTCCATATCTCTGTGTGTGTCTCTTTTACTCCATATCTCTCTGTGTGTGTCTGTTTATGTCTCTCTCTCTCTCTCATCCTTCCCATGTTTCTCTCTCACACACACACACACTCATTCACAGCTTTCAAAAGACACGTCTGTCCTTACCTTCACTTTTTGTTTTAAACAGCACACTCACTTTACTCTGAACTATACCTCACATGCACACGAGCTTTCTGCTCCATCTGTTCATCCCACATGTGTCTTCACATTCAAAGCAGCACCTTCCCCAAGACCAGCTACCTAACCACCTCCCACCTCCACCCCATCCCTAGTCAGAGGAAGGCCTGGTTCCCACCTGAATTCAGCTTTGTCAAAGAGCCTCCTGGAAAGCTGTCATCTTCAGTTAGTAGGGATAATGGGATTATTCTATCTGTGTAATAATAACATGTTCAATTTAAAGAAAAAAATCTGAAGCCACTTAAAAGCTACTGTTTGGCACCGATACATTATTCCAGTAATGAATAATCATTAAAGATATTATTCTGGATGCAGTTACCATGCAGTGATGTGAATAAAATGCATTAGATGGAAAATTGTATTTCAAGTAAATATATGCACTGGTAGAAATGTATTACCACCCACTAATATGTATTAATTCAAAACCAAATGCCAACTGGAGTTCGCCTACACGGGTTTGAATGGCAGGCAGTGATTTGGAAGTGGGAGGAAATAGGTTTGGATTTGGTCAAATAGACTGAGAAGTGATAGTGGGGGCGGGGGTTTATGACTCAAACTTTAACAGGTGAGAAGACTATGCCATGGACAGAACAGGCATGAGGGGCTCCCCTCCTACGCCTCTTTAAGAGATTTTTATCTCTGACTAAGGATTACTGGTAGTTGTTGACATTTCTGAAGCAGTGGATCTTTTTCCTTTTTCACTATCTGCATCTTCAAATATTCTTTTCTGAAGAAAGTTAAAAGGAAGCCTGTACATTTTTTGCTAAGGTAAATGCCTTGCCATCTTATTTCATTTTCTCATTTTTTTCTTCAGTGCACAACATAAGCAACTGTCCTCCTTGTCATACTCAAGATGAGCTTGGCATATCTGAAATCTGCAGGGATTTTCTCATTAGCACAGGGTTCCAAGCCCAAACCGTGAAGATGGAGTTTTCATTTTTAAATGGCACATCTTCAAGTTCTTGCCCTGTCCTCACTTTAGTATGCCCCAGAGGAAGTCAAAGATATGGACACTCTAAGACTCAGAAGAACTTTCTCAGGCATTCATTTTCCTATCTATTTTGAGCCATTTTATTTAAAAGGTTACAATTTTAAACCTCTCTTTAATTAAAAGATACCAGAGTTACAATGCAATACTATTTGGCAATCAAAACTAATGAAGCACAGATGCATGCTACAACACGAATGAACTTTGAAACGTTGTGTTAAGTGAAATAAACCAGTTATTATACAAGGCCACATACTGTATGATTCCATTTGTATAAAATGTCCAAACTAAGCAAATCTGTAGAGACAGAAATCAGATTGGTGGTTGTCTAGAGCTGGCGGGGGGAGGGATGGGGATTGTTCGAGGCAAATGGGGAGTGACTCACAAAGAGTACCAGTTTCTTTTTAGGGCAATAAAATCTTTTAAATTGATTGTGGTGACGATCACGTCTATGGGTATACAAAAAATCACGGAATTGTACAATGTAAACGGGTGAATCGTATGGCACATGAATTATATCTCAATAAAGTTTTTACCAAAAAAAGACACCAGAGAAAGAATGAAAACACAAAATACTATTTTGCAACATACATCATCAGTAAAGAACTAGCATCCAGAATATATAAAGAATAGCCAATAGGCTGGGCGTGCTGGCTCACGCCTGTAATCCCAGCACTTTGGGAGGCCAAGGTGGATGAATCACGAGGTCAGGAGTTTGAGACCAGCCTGGCCAACATGGAGAAACCCCGTCTCCACTAAAAATACAAAAAATTAGCTGGGCGTGGTAGCAGGTGCCTGTAATCCCAGCTACTTGAGAGGCTAAGGCAGGAGAATCACTTGAACCCAGGAGGCGGAGGTTGCAGTGAGCCGAGATCGTGCCATTGCATTCCAGCCTGGGCAACAGAGCAAGACTCCATCTCAAAAAAAGGAAAAAAAAAGAATAGCCAATAAATCAACATAAAGACAGAAAACTAATAGAAAACTGACTACCAGTGGATCAGGACTCTCACAAAAAGAGAAACTCCAGTGGCCAATTAAAAAAATAAAGATTAGAAAATGAAAAAGCTACAATAAAACAGCTTTGTACATTCATTGGATGACAAAAAAATAATAATTCATTAACATTAAGTGGGACACAGTTATGGAACAAGAGAAATTCTCATACACTGCTGATGGAAACAGAAATTAGTAAAATCACTTTTGAAAACATTTTGTCAGTATCTCCTAATGCTGAAGGTATGGAGGCCCTGATGATACAGTGATTCCACCCTTAGGCACATAGCTAGAGAAACACATATATACGTGCACAAAGGCAAAATAAATTAGCACTAGAACTGCATAATAAGGAAGAAAATTTGGAACAGGAGAAAGAGCACTGGAATGAGAGCCCCAACTTTGGATTTTAGATTTTTTAGTAGGTACTGGACATGGGGTGCTCATGCATCCTTGAATTTGGGGAGAGGCTCCAATGTCACTCAGGGATGGCCTCGGAATTTAAGAAGTGGGCTGCATGCACAGTCCACAATGGCCTAGTGTTGTGGGCCCACAATGGATATCATGCTGTGACCCATGGTGAAGGAAAGCATGGTCTAAAGAAAAGGTTATGGCATGGCCCCATGGTATCTATTTTGTGGCTGGGCCATTGTGTTCCTTGGAATATGCAGACATGGGGGTGCAGGTCAGTGACATTGGAACCATGTAGCATTCACATGAAACATTCCTAGCATGTGAGTTAATTATGAATGACCCCTTTAACATTTAAAAGTTCAACATTAGGTCTTTTTCTACCCAAGCAAGGTGACGGCAGCAAATTAAGTGCCTGCTGAATGTTATTCTCATAAACAGCTTCTCAAGGAAAGGTCAAAAGGAGTCTTTTCCTTTTATTAACCTGAATTCCTTGGTACAAATTGGAGTTGCTTATTCTATCTGTCCTCAGGTATGCCTGAATCTCTTAAGTATTTTACAGTTTCCATAAAGAGTACATTGATCTTATTACTCTTAAAACCCAGCCATTTTCAGAATAAAATATATGCAGATCATATAATAATACTGTACAATTAATTCAGGGGAGATACAGTGAAGAAATATTTGTTGGGCTGAAGCCAGAGTAAGACCACCAAGAAGGTGAGATTACTGTAGCTCAAGATACCACTTACTTTCAGAGGAAAAAAAATGATTGCTTATTTGGTTAAATACTATAAATATTCTTGATGAGAGGGAGAGAGACTTATTCTAGTGGCCTAGAGCTCAAGGAGAAAAGAGGAAGCTGTGTTGTAGGGGTGGGTGAAACACAGTAGTGGATGCAGCTAAGCTAACATGCATCAAGAATGAGTATAAGGTGGAAGAATGGGGACTTCAGTGCTGAGGCAGATTAACCCAATGTGGGAGAGTAAATCACAGCAAAAACAGCAACAGGTAACACACAGCACTGTCTATGCACCAAGCAGCAATCTAAGTTATGTGCAAGATATTCATTGAATTCTCACAAGCAGCATTTGATATAGATACTATTATTGTGTCTATTTTATAAAGGAGAAAACTGGGCTAAGAAAGGGAAAGTAATTTGCCCACTATTGTGCAGCTCATAAGTGGCAGCACCAAGCTTCAAATCATGACAATCTGGCTTGAGAGTCCCTAGCCTTAATCACATTTTCCTGGGAATTATGAAACTAGGAAATCCAAAGGCCTCAGGGAAGTTGTCATATTAGGTTAGTATGCTTGACAATCTTCTCCCCAATGTTCCAATGCTAACTTTGTTATTTATAAGATATGTGGCCTTAGGCAACTTCCCTGGGCCCGTTTTCTCATGTGCAACTAAAGGCAGAGACAATGAGTGGACTCTGAAGGATCTATGCCCCTTTCCAGTGCAGAATTATTGCTGAGAAGTAACTTCTATGCCAGGGACTACATTTCCCAGCCTGCCTTGCATCTAGATGGCATCACGTGACTGGTTCTCGCAAGTGGAATATAAGTAGAAGTGATGTGGCTAACTTCCAGGCCAAAATGCAAGAGCATCTGTATGTGTTCCACATACTCTCTTCTTCTTTGGCAATCTTGGAGGTCATGTGGTACCAAGGGAGATGGTGTCCCAAGACTGAAGAGGGATGGATCCCTGAGTCACCATTTGAAAGGTGCCCAGGAGTGCCACCCTGGTACATATGCATTGCACACTGCATGAGAGAGCAATAAATATTTATTAAGGCCCTAAAATTGGAGGGGTTTTTTTTTTTTTTTGGATGTAGCCCTTAGCCTGATGAGGTTATTTTGGAATTTAAAAACTAAAACATAGGCAATGCACCTGTTTGGTGTCTGGCACTCAGGAGATACTCAAGCAATGCAAAGAGACAAACTAGATCTAGACAGCCATGGGAAAAGAACAACAGGTTGCCAAAAGGAAGCAGAAGCTGAAAGCAGTGCATGAACCCCAAGAATGCTACCTCTGGGAATCGGATCATTCAGGAAAAGACACCGGCTGCTCAACAGACTATGGCAGGGCAAGATCAGGAGACAAAAAGAATCCTGCCGGAAGCTGATTAGGCCAGACAGATTAGGGGAGGTAGAGGCACAACAGGGAACACTGGGCTGAGGCCAGTAGGAGATGCATTCAGAGAAAAGGAGGCACCATTGATATAAATAACACTCATGACTCATTCCAATTGTGCATTTCCCTGGACCTTCAGGTGATAAGAAAGAAGCTGAGGTGTCTACTCCCTGCCCCTTCTACTTTGCAAGAAAGAGAAGGCATGCAGCCTGTTAGGGTTCAGTGAAACCATGAAGATAGTTAAGGTCAAGATCAAATTGTACCCTCTCAGACCACTTATTAAAAACTCGGTGGTCATCTCAAGACTCAGAAAGCATCTCTAAGAGAAGGAAATAGTGCTGAACAAAGAAGTCAAAAAACCAGTTCAACATTTAACCCTTTCCAATGATGGGGCTATGTGTACTTGGTGCAACACCTTCCCTCACTAAACTTTAGTTTCTCTATCTGTAAAACCTGGGAAGTGAACAAAGACAAGGGACCCACGTTAAAATGTTTCCAGGAATCTGGCTAGTAATGCAAATGTTCAAAGTGCACCTAATATAGCGTGGGGAAGTGAAGCCTGGGGAAAAGTCACATCTTGTTTAGGAGAACTGCCTTATAAAAACAAATAGATGAGTAAATAAAAAGTAAATACTCTGAGTGTTGGATAAGTATGCTTGCCAGCTTCTAGACTACAACTTCCAGGAGAGACAGCCCCCTGAGAACCCTATCAGTTCTCACACAATTTTGAGGTTCTGCTGATTTGCTCTACTGTTTGCTCCTTAAAGAAATGTGAGTTTGGTATATCCCCCTTGATTCCTAGAGGGGACGAGTCCATTTCAATCAAAGGGACAATAAAAGAATTGCTTGGATATCTGTGTGTAAAAGAGGAGTCTGATTTTATTCCCCAAGAGTTGTGGTTGGTTCCCTTAGGAACCCTTAGGAAGCAGAGCAAGGATCTCAGTGTGTTCCAGATCTTCTGTGCCCCCGTCCAGTTATCCTGCTTACCCCTGTGAATACGGAAGAAGCAAGGGGAAAAGCAAAGGCAGGGCGCCAGACTTTAGAGCTTCTGTGAGCATATCAGGAAAAAGCAGGTCCTCTGGGCAAGTGCAATACCTTGTGGATATGGGGTCTCTTTGGCTGATACCTCCATGCAGCAAAGAAATTGCATAACCAAGTTCAGCAGCCCTAAAGGGATGGAAGGAGATATCTGCACAGAGAACCCTGAGGGAGATGGTGGTGGTGAATGGAGGGCAAGTCCATATCACTGATAACAGATTCCTGTCACTCTGGACAGGCCTGGGGATGGAAAAAAACTCAAAATGACAAGGCAACAGAAGCCACAGTGTCACCTCTGCCTACATAAGCATCCTAGTCTCCCTGTTATTGGCTCAGTTCGGTAACGGTTCTTAACAATGAATATACTTTTGGGTAACATTTTTTTTTTTCTGCAAGAGCTTGACATGGGTCCTATAACTCCTTAGGACAACAGCTGGCTCTGTGTCCCAATTAATATGGAAGGTGACGGGTAGCCTTCCCTCACCTGCATGTGAGCTCAGCAAAAAGACCTCCTGCAGTTTTCCCTAGAGGACAGTGAATTTGCCCTTTATCAGGTCTTATATTCATGTGATCAGTTCTCCCTTCTCCCCCAGAATGACTCTTGACTTCTGCCTCCAATTCCTAAGTGTGTATTTTATAAAAGTGCCACTTCAACACCCCATTTCTTAGAGCTCTTTTAAAATGTGCTTTGCACCCTCCCCACCTGCTGAAGCCCAGAAATACTAAATTCTTTGCTTTGGAACTCTCGGCAGACTCATGAATATCACAAAGACGCATCCTAGCATCTTTTCACTCCAGCCCCCAACAAGTTGATACTCGGCGCACGTTTCCAAAGAAAAGGCCAGTAATTGGTTTTGCTGGGGGAACAACCTCAGAGATAAATGTCCTGTGTACAGTCATTTACCTTCCCTGGGTGTGTGTGTGTTTCTGTCTTGGGTGCTGGTCCCTCTCATTGCTCACTCCCCACACCTGAAATGCCATCATGGTGACAGAGGGACTGTCAGAGCTGTCAGCAGACAGCTTTTGGCAAAGGTGTATCATTTAGAGGAAAGAAGGCTTGCTTTCCAGGCTCAGGCAGACAGGCACATGGCTCCCAAATCAATTTGCTCCTCCTGCATGCAAGCCTTCTTTATAGTTATTATGCCAGAGTAAGAAAGCTTTAAAAAGAAAGGCTATTTGGCAATACCTGTATTAATTTGCATATAGTGAGAGGTACGTGTGTGAGGGGAAAGAGCCGTGTGAAATCTGAATCCTCCTCTCCTACAGAAGGAAATCAAGCAGCTTCTCATCGAATTCGAGGGTGCCATGTTCTGGTGCCTGTCTCTCTGGCCTCTCAAGGTATCCCTTATTTGTCATGCCCTTCTGCTCTCCCATGCACATCTGCAGCAGCTCCATCAAGCTCTGTTGTAATTCTGCAATGTGCCAAGTGCTCTGGCACCTCAGCATGGTGCACGTGATACCTCCTATGCCTGAGGACCCCTTCCCAACTTGGTGGCCCTCCTAACCCTACTCATCTTTTTGATTTGTATGAGTGTCACCTGCTCTAGAAGCCTTCTTTGACATCTCAGTTCCAGTCTATTTCTTCATTTCCCTTAGTTCCCTGAGGCACTCTGACTGTAGGGCCTCTCAAAGAAGTGGGATTGTATGTCTAGGGTACTTCTCTACCTCCCCATCTAGGATTGGTGAGTTCCTCAGGATAGAGCTGATTGCATTGATCTGTGGGGCCCTCCAGACCTTTGAGACAGTCTGTGAACAGGATGTCAACGTATCCTCAAATCCTGCTAAGCCATGGTACTGACTTCTTAAAAATGGAAGTGAGGAGGAGGGCTTCACACTTACCACCTGCAAGAGACCTTTACTGTTTGGCACCATTCTCAAGGGGTAAGAGGGAGAGTATTTTGTTTAGATTTGGATACTCTTGGGTTTTCATTCCAGCTCCATCCCACTCAAGCTATGTGACTTTAATTAAAGCACTCAGCTTTTCCAGGCTGCAGTTGTCTGATCTGTGAAAGGTGGATAATGGCAGCTCCTATCATTGTATGGATTAGAGATGATGCGTGAAGTGCTGCACCATGTAGTGGGGGCACCAGATGCCCGATATTAGCATCATTTTGCTTCTAACATTTTGTATCCTTTCAATCTGTTGTACAGATAAAAATTCTGTTTAAACCAACTGTTACAAGAAAAATCTCTCTGTTAAAAAAAATCTTGATTGCTAACAATAATTAATATATTCAAAGCAATAGAGAGAACAGTAAATTTCCCCAACTACCACAGTTAGGACAGGCTATTGGGGTTCTTTGAAAGTTGCCTGTAAATAATTAGCATCATTATTTGGTAAATTATATCTAGCTAAAATATTACCTGATTAATGTGTTCCTTCCACAGATCACTTAGCTATGAGCTCTAAAACCATGAGTGATCCTTTTCATTTGAGGTTGCTTGTTGACTGACATGTGTCCTTTGTACATAATGACATTTAGACCATGGTCTCTCAATAAGCTTTTGAATTCAAACAGGCACTGCTAATGGGGAATTTTGCTAATGCTAATAGCTATCATAGTAGTGTTATGATAATAGTCACATCTTGTACTTCTCCAGGGTCTTTCTCGGTCTTTCTTGGAACACTGAAGAGACCTTACTGTCATTTTTCCTCAGTGCTCCCAGCAGCAAGAAGGCACCTGTTACTATTTTGGAAGCAAGAAAATTATGAAAGTGCCCAAATGTTCTCCAATGTGGAGAGAGAGCAGAACCTATAATTACCACATTTATGTGAGACCATTTTTCTACATTAAATCCCATCCTGTTTCACTCTAAATACCATTTAAGCCAACCTCCAGCTTTTCCTGGTGCCCATCTTCAACTAAGCACCTCATTGTCTTCTGTTCTAAGACTTTCATTCAAATATGGAGTTTCCAGGAAAATAATTCACCTCATCAAACCAATTTAAGGGAACTGCACTCATATTTTACCCTAAATCTTTCCATTGATTGATTCATTCATTTAAAATGCTTATTGGACACCCCTACAGAAACCTGTACCAGGTTCTGAGTAATGAATGGAGGCAGACTTCAAGACAGCCTGGCCAATATGGTGAAACCACGTCTCTACTAAAAATACAAAAATTACCCAGGCATGGTGGCGAGCACCTGTAATCCCAGCACTTTTGGAGGCCGAGGTGGGTGGATCACCTGATGTCAGGAGTTTGAGACCAGCCTGGCCAATATGGTGAAACCCCGTCTCTACTAAAAATACAAAAATTACCCAGGCGTGGTGGCAGATGCCTGTCATTCCAGCTACTTGGGAGGCTGAGGCAGAAGAATCACTTGAACCTGGGAGGTGGAGGTTGCAGCTAGCCAAGATTGTGCCATTGCTATCCAGTCTGGGAGACAGAGTGAGACTCTGTCTCAAAAAAAAAAAAAAAAAAAAAAAAAGGAGGCAAAATGCAGAGATTCCTCAGATGAGGCCCCTGGGAGATGGTAAGTGAGTACCCACATAACCATACCTACCAAAAGATAGGGGTGGTGCCCAGAAGGTACAAAGGAAATGCTACCTCTGAAACATATGAAACAAAGACTAGTCAAGTAGTATCTCCTGCCTGAGAGTCAGCATGACAGAGGAGAACAGGAGGGCCTAGACTGCAATTCCTGCTCTGATACTTAATTAGCTGTGTGATTTGGGAAAGGGTATTATCCTCTCTGAGTCTCTCTCTCCTCGCCTATAAAATAATGTTAATAATGCCTATTGGCATGGATGCTATGAGGTTTAAAGGTTTGGCATCTAGAATGCATAGTAAGTACTCATGAATATAAGAAGCACCTCTCCAAAACCAGCTCCCTGCTAAGAAAGGTTTGTGTATATGTGTGTGTGAGTGCACACACGTGCACATGCATGCTTATGTTTTGTGGGCATATGATCATTCATTGTGGTTTTTTGCTGCCTCTTCTCATAATAACCCATTTTTGGTCACCTGATTCTTTCTCCAGGCCCATGTCACAATTGTAACATTAAGAAGAGATTAGAACGGCATGTGCCCACCAAAGCTCACAAAGAGGAAAAATATCTCCCTCAGATATGTATTAGAACACAAAAGTATATAGAGATCCAGTCATGTACATTCTGAAACACCAACTAAGGATTTATTCCTCACAGTTGCCAATTTTTCATCAAAGTTGCGAAAAAAATGTATCATTAACACTTCAATTGATCTGTCTGGAGGAATGACCTATATCAACCACCATCACGTGTATTCCAAACAAAAGTGCACTTACTTATTAGTATTCCTTCCAATGCATCATCTCCTAGGTTTTACTCATTTATAAGTATTCAACAAATACTTATCACGTGCCCAACATATACTGGAGTTGTGCTAGTTTCTTGTCATGTAGCAACCTGTTCTATGGGGGCATAAAGAGAAACACTCTGTGGCATTGTGTTTGTATGGGTGTGTGTATGTGCATGCATTTAAATGCATGTACCTATGTGGACACGACTGCATGTGCCTATATGTTTGTATGTATGCGTACATGTGCACATGCGTGTACATGTATGTCATATATGTGTATTCTATGTAGGTGTGCACTTGCATACATGTCTATACACATGCATTTTAAGTGTGGGTATGCACATGTGTAGTCTACATGTGTCTATGTGTATGCACGTATGTGTACATATTTGTGCACATGTTTTAGTATTTTCCAGTGATTCAATCCAGCTCTTCTCATAGGAACTTCATTTGGTGGCCAGTGTGGAAATCATCTTATTGGGAAGATGAATTTCTCTATGAATGTTCTGCTATGTACTTCTGGAATATGGTATAGTGTTCTCATTTTCTACTTTTTCAGAGAAGAAGTCAGGAAATAAATCATAATTCCTTTGGCTTCAGAGACTCCACTCATCTCTAGCCCCTCAACCAAGTACCTAGCACAGGACCAGGTACAGATCAGGCACTCAGCAAATATTTGTCAAATTGTATGATACTGAGTCTCTGTCTTATACTCAGTCATCACAAGACATGACCCAATTTGCCAAGTATGGTCTGGGCTGCCCTGGGATGGCTTTGGCCTATAAGGATACACGATGTGGCCTGAAATATGTGTCCTAGGCTTGGATAATACACAACCCATCTCATTCCAATGTTGGCTCATTGGTTTATTCCAGAAGTAACACAACCAGCTAAAATGCACTGTCCTTGACTCCCTCACAAGGCCTGCCAGCATTGCTCTGAGAAAACACGAGCCATCATTCTCCCTGGTCCTCCCTACCTCCTCTCCTCCTACTGACAGGTGGGAGGAGTTAGAGGTTCCTGAGCACGGAGATGGTGAGCCACATCACATGGGGGTGACTCTGTTGCAAAACCAGGGAGAAGGAAGCAAAGAGACCCAGACAATGCTTCTAACAGCACTTCTCCTGGAGGAAATTAAAGGAAAAACAGGAAATGAAGCTGGAGACAAGGACACCAGAGGGCTGAGTGGAAGCCAGAGCAATGACCCTTAGGAATTTTTTTCTTGTGGGAGTCAGAGAATCGTAAAGAGCTTCCAGCACAGGGGTGTTTAGGCCTGGCTTTCCCAGCAGGGCCAGAGGTGAGCACTGGATATAGAGTCTAGGAGTGGCTCTGCTGTTTCTAGCAGCCTGGCCTCAGATGCATTGTATAGTTTCATCAAATCTAGTTTTCTCTGATTGTGATGTGGAGAAAAATTATACCTCTTCACAAAATTGTGCATTCTGTTTACCAAGATAATATATGCTAAAAATGACAACAGCAAAAAGCTAGCATGCAGTATAAGTAAGTACACTCCCTATTATTTTATGCTATATTTCATCTGGGTACTATCATAGGCGATGATCTGCTTTCCTGAGGCTCCAGAGGGTACTGCTATCCTTGGAATGAGCCTCCCCTGAGAACATTCCCCCAGCATCAACTCAACCACCCTGAACCACCCCAACTTCACCTGGGGCACCAGTGTTCTCAAATATATGAGTACCAGAAGGGCATAATTTCAGGTTTGCTCATGGCCACACTCTTCTCTCCAGTGTCTCTTTGTGTAAATAGCCTAAATCTTCTGAGCCTTTATTTCATCATCCATGCAGTGGAACTAGCAACTCATAGATCTGTAGTGAGGAAAATCTAAGAGACTGAATATAAATAAATTAACCCATCAGTTATACCTTAATAAAGCTGGGAAAGTAAAAAGGGGAGCCCAGTACCTTGGAAATAATTAAGTGCTCCATAAGCATTGCCTACCCTGGTAATAACCACGAATAGTTATGCTACCACTGCTTGTTATTATTAATAATAAAGTGAGCTTCATTATAAACAGAAAGCACCTTGCTCCTCAAAAAGAGGGTGTCTCCTCTGGAGGAGAGGCTCTCCAGGTCCGAAATTGCCAGCATGTAGCCAGCTGCCGTAATGGTCCTGCATTTTCATTCTGCCAGAAAGTCTCAGAGGCATCCTGATGTCTGCAGGCTGCTCTCACCTCTCCTGCTTAGGAAAACTGTGTGCCACTGTGACTGTGTTTATCAAGGACATGCCACAAGTTGCAGTGATGGGTGACAGGTTTTAATTTCCTGCCACTGTCCTTCTAGAAATGTAAGCCAAACCAGCACTACGAAAGGCAGACAATGTACAGCTACTGCAGGATGGAAATGAGACATGAGGATGAGGACAGAGCAGAAGCCAGGACTTGGCCCTCATTCATGGAGCACCCAGTGTGCCTAGCACTGGCGCAGGCACTGCGAGGCACACAAAACCTTTCAAACATGCATCCACCCTTGAATGCTTTTCAGTGTACATAAAATATTTAGGAAATGATCTCAGACAGCACAGAGTCACATGCTGTTTCCTGAAGTTTGGAGAATTGTGTGAAGAATAGTAAGAAGGAGTTGCCTGGGTGTGAGTTTGCAGACAGCAGCAGAAAGAGAAGAAGAAGGTACTGGAGGGGGGATGTGTGTCTTTTTCAAGGGCTAGGCTCAGAGCACAGCAGGCAGAAGCAGTAAGAGGAGGTGCTTGTTTCCTGGAGAGAAAGATATTCAGTGTTATGAGTGACAGCCCAGAGTCCCAAGGATCACAGTCAAAAATAACTTATCATTTCTTACTAATTCTAAGACAATTTGTTTTTATTACACCTGACTAGTGTCCCACCACCAGCTGAAACCAGGCCTTCTGTGGTTTCCATTCTTCCCCTCTAATGTTGCCTATTTAATGCTAATAATAGCCTCACTGACTCAAGTAGTAGTGGAGTAAATACTGTCACTCAGGTCTCAGAAGTATTAGCCTGCATGTAACTGGCCCTTGCTCCCTACAGCCCGTCCCTGCCCAGTATAGCAGCAGCCCCTCTGGATAGGAGAGTGGCTCCTCCCTTGGCTCACAACAGCATCTAGAATGCTCCTGGTGTTCCATCAATATTTCCTACAACTAATTATATGGTAGGTTTTGATGTTTTATTCCTGGGCAGCCAAATATATTTCATGCTGAGAAGGACAAAAGCACCCAGAGCGGTCTAGAGAGCCCACTGGAGAAAAGGTAAGATGAAAGAAAAACATCTTCTGTCTCTTTCCTCCTTGCTCTGTCTTTCTGTCATGGCCTATCATTCTCTGCCTTCCTGTCTCTCCATCACTGTCTTGGGTTCTCTCCTTCTCTGCCTCCTCTCTCCTAGAAAGGCAACCCCCTGGTGGCGTCTATTGTCAACAACTGTGACACTACAGCCAGGGGCCCACCACCTGCAAATTGCCTTCCAGGCCCCCTATGGCCACTGATATTAGAAGAGGCTCCAATTGTCCTCATATGGATAATAACCAGATGGGTTGGGTCAGGCTGTTCTGCCTGCTGAGTTAACCACACCACACCCCTGAAGGACTTGGAGGACTGTGTGGCAGGATGCAATGCTATGCAGCAGCCTGGAGCCACCTACGGAGTGTGCCAGCTTCAGGGTCCCCAGTCACCTGCAGGAAGCTGCATATCCTGTTTGCCTCCAGGTAGCACATCCACTGGGGACCAAAGAAGGTTAGAATCGATCTAGATTCTCGACTGGAAAAGCACATCAGGAAATGTAGCTAACACGCAGCCTTTTCTAGTGTGGCTAAAGGAGGCTTTGTTTTTATTCATTCAAAACCAATGGCTTGGGCCTCCCCAGCACAGTGCTAGACAGGAGAATCCAGAGATAAGTAAAACACAGAATCTGCCCTCAAGGAGGCCAGATCTTGTAGGATGCTAGGACAGTGGACCCACGACAATTAGAACTGCAAGGAAATTGGACTGATAGTCTTTGCTCACATTGCTTATAGTAGTTTGCAAGGTTGAGCCATAATTTCAAGTTGTTACATTTATTTGTTAGACATTAGGATGAGTACTAGTTCTGGCCAAGAAGTATTTCCATTTCCCCATTGCCTCTCTCTTACAACCAGAAAACCATTAAGGGGCACAGAATAAGGCAGACTGCCTAATGCTCTCGACCTGAGGAGCAACAAGGTGGTGAGTTCCCTGGGTGTCTTCTTTGCCTCTCCTATACCCTGTACAGGGCACTGCAGAACCCTCCAAGTCAGAGCCATTCACAGACACAGACAAAAAAGCTTCAAGAAAATCCTGTTTCCCTCAGCCAAAGGATCAGAAAAAGGGTCATCTAATCACAGAAAACCATTATGGCAGTACCTGCCCTGCTCAAGCCACACTCCAATAAAAAAACTACAGTCCGTCGACAGGACCAAGAGGAGCTGAGCTTCTATTCCACTCCCATCCCTGACCCCATATAAACAGACAAAGGCACACTAATTCCCACACCAGTGTAGAATCAATGGGATCCACCTACCTATAAGACTGAACATGACAATTCAAGTCAGGGCTCCATGCCCTCTTTACCCTGGGCATTAGTGAGTTGAGCTGTGCCTTCACCCTCATCTAGCACCAACAGAACAGGCCAAGGTGGTGCAAGGCAGGGCTAGTCTCACTTTACTTCCTCCTGGCTTCCTGGTACTGACAGGGCCCACTGAAGACCCGAGCCTCCACCCCACTGGCAACAGTGAAAGGGAAGAAGATGGTGGGAAGAGTGAAAGAGAACAAGCAGGGATAGTTAGCACTCTGCTTCTTCCTCCCCTCTCCTGCTGTCATCTGCATCTACCTGAAACTTGGGCTTTCACTGCTAGCCTGCAGCAACAAAGCAGAGGCAGTGGACAAGGAGGAAGCCACGCGGGCAGGCGCAAGAGTGACAACTTGAGACCCTTCCAGAGACTATCAAGAAAGAGGTGATTTGCATTTCTCTGATGGCCAGTGATGATGAGCATTTTTTTCATGCATCTGTTGGCTGCACAAATGTCTTCTTTTGAGATATCATCTCACACCAGATAGAATGGCGATCATTAGAAAGTCAAGAAACAACAGGTGCTGGAGAGGTTGTGGAGAAATAGGAACACTTTTACACTGTTGGTGGGAGTGTAAACTAGTTCAACCATTGTGGAAGACAGTGTGGCGATTCCTCAGGGATCTAGAACTAGAAATACCATTGGACCCAGCCATCCCATTACTGGGTATATACCCAGAGGATTATAAAACATGCTGCTATGAAGACACATGCACATGTATGTTTATTGCAGCACTACTCACAATAGCAAAAACTTGGAACCAACCTAAATGTCCAACAATGATAGACTGGATTAAGAAAATGTGGCACATATACACCATGGAATACTATGCAGCCATAAAAAATGATGAGTGCATGTCCTTTGTAGGGACATGGATGAAGCTGGAAACCATCATTCTCAGCAAACTATCACAAGGACAAAAAAACAAACACCACATGTTCTCACTCACAGGTGGGAATTGAACAATGAGAACACTTGGACACAGGAAGGGGAACATCACACACCAGGGCCTGTTGTGGGGTGGGGGGAGGGGGGAGGGATAGCATTAGGAGATATACCTAATGTAAATGACGAGTTAATGGGTGCAGCACACCAACATGGCACATGTATACATATGTAACAAACCTGCACGTTGTGCACATGTACCCTAGAACTTAAAGTATAGTAACAAATATATATATTTAAAAAAATTAAAAGTAAATAAAAAAAAGAAAGAGATGAATCCTGGGACCTGCCCCTTAAAGGTGTGTGCTGATCTAACCAATGAATTTAGGAATAAACTGTGAAAGCAATTTTACCCTAACACTCACAAGCTGTGGTATCTAAGGGACTTTCAAAATGAATATTTATTCAACTCAACTGAGTGACAAACCTATTAGATGCCAGGCATGGCCAGGTGCTTGAAATACAGAATAAAAGATGACTTCTGTAGTATTCAGGGTTTCACAGCCCAAAGAATCAGGCAGGCATGTAAATTATCAATCAATAGAGTACCAGGTCATGAGTACTATAATCAGGACTTATATAAGGAACAGCAGGCATGTAAAAGAAGCCAATAATGTGGAGGGACTTAGAGCAGGGCTCATACAGAAGACCTGAGATGAAAATAGTTTGTCAAATGATCGAATGACTTGAATGAATGAGTAGTAGATAAAGGTGAAGAAAGTTTACAGACAGACCCTAGGTAGGAGGTACTATTTGTATGTTTCCTTCACAGTGAGAAAATGATCATTTCCTGTAAACACACATGCATGGACTCTTCTAACTGTGCTTTCCCCTGTACATGACTTCCACTGGACATATGCCAAAGTTTTCCCTACCTTTTACTTCCCTGCCTCCAGGAGGATCGGATAAGGTGTTACCAGGTCTTGCCAGAAAACTGGAAATCCCTCTTGGCCATCTGTACTTTGAGAGGTGGGAAAGCATGTGCCTTATGCTTAACCATACTGAGCTGCTTATCTTAAGTTATCCCCTTTCTCTGGGAGACCAAAAAGCCTTCCATTGAGGGCTGGAACCCTCCTTGCATGAGCTGTGTCCCCTGACCATACCTTCCTGCTCATCCTCCCTGCCTCTTTAATTCTGGGGCCTTAGGGGTATTTCCTCATGGCACAGAAGAAACAAAAAAAGGCTAGGGACAAGGCCTCATTCTAAAAGTATTCTAATCCATTCTATTGGTCAAGTAAATCTTACCTCCTGTCTGAAATCGCTCTTGCTCAGACAAAAGTCTACACATTTTTCACAGAGCTCTCTGGCACTTAATGAAACCCCAAGTCCATTATGTCTTGTCACTGAAAGTGTGCTCTGACAAGGCTGAAAAACTTCCTGGAGAGATGACAGTGCATGTGCCTGACTCTTTAAGAGACAATTGTGTGTAGTCACATATTGCTTTGTGGATTGGCGGGTGGGTAGGGAAAGAGGCACCTGTCACTGACTCTCTCACCTGCTGACATGACCCATATGGAAAAAAATGAAATCATGGGTGTATGGCATCATCCAAACACCAAGAAAGAGCCAACACTATTTGCCTCCACTGGGGGTTTTCTAAAGGTTTATGGTCAGAAATAGGACATCCACAAAGCATGTGTATTTCTGCATGTAATTTTATAAATTATGTTACACATTCTTATCTATTTTTCTTGTCTTTAAAATTGTAAGACTAACACTATCTTCTCCAAACAGTCCATGTGATAATTAAATGAGCTCTGAAATACTATAGATAATGGTGAGACATAATATATCTCGAATAAGTGTTGCAATTGTTATTATTGGTATTGTCAATTTCATGTGATGGTAATCCATTATGATTATAAAGGACTTTCAGTGTACTGAAAGTTTTTATATTCATTGATGAGAAAATTGTTATTGTCGACATTTACAGAGTATCAAAGAAGTTAAGTGATTTGCCCCAGGGATCAGACTAGTGATAACTGAGCTAGGAAGTACAGAATAGAGAGGTGGATAAGAGCTCAGCTTTTGGCTTTGGACCACAGAGCACTGATCTTAGCTTTACTACTCCTTACTATGCAACACTGGGAACATTACCTGGCCCCTCTACCCATCCAGTTCTTCACCTACAAAATAGTTTCTTACTTCATAGGTTGTTGTGGGGTTCAAATAAGATAATCGATGAAAAGCACTTAGAGCTGTGTGTGGCATATAGTGTGTGCTCAATAAATATTAGCTACTATCACTGCATTCAGATTGTCTGAGTTCAGCACTCTTTCCACTACATAACTCTAAAGACAGCAGCTTCAGAATCTGTTTTAGAATAAAAACTAACTGAAAATTGTGATATGTCTATTCTCATTTAAGAGGTAGTAAGAGTATGCAGCTAAAGAGTATGCCACAGAGTAGAGATCCATGGTGAAAAAACAGAGCCCAGTGGAGAGGGAGAGGGCTTATATTCTTTTTTTTTTTTTTTTTTTTTTTTTTGAGATGGAGTTTGCTCTTGTCACCCAGGCTGGGGTGCAATAAAACAATCTTGGGTCACTGCAACCTCCACCTCTTGGGTTCAAGGGATTCTCCAGCCTCAGCCCCCCAGGCAGCTGGGATTACAGGTGACCGCCATCACGCCCAGCTAATTTTTGTACTTTTAGCAGAGTTGGGGTTTAGCCATGTTGGCCCGGCTGGTCTCGAACTCCTGACCTCAGGTGATCCATCCACCTCTGCCTCCCAAAGTGCTAGGATTACAGGCGTGAGCCACCACGCCTGGCCTTAGATTCTATTTTTAAACAAGGGAGAACAAATACAATACCATGCAAGTATTCTATGCTCCCACATAGTCTAAAGATATAGCTTATTCCTTCTTAATATACATTATCAAATAGACATAAAGGAGTAAGAAGGTATTTTCACTGTCCATGAGTGGCTAGAAGACCATTTCTGCAAAAAAAAAAAAAAGGTGGGGTGGGGGGGTATCTTGTAAGTCCTTGTGCTACATCATTGATAATTCACTTATTTTATCAGAAGAATCAATGAAATAGTGGGGATGAGAAAAATAGAGGAATTACGATTCTGGGCTGACTGATGGGAAGACATACCTGGTGAAGTAGAAGAGACAAGATCGGGGGAAAAGTAAGTTTTAACTTCTTTTTGAAACAGAGAGGAAATACATTCTTCAAGTGTACCACTTAATGATCTGCATCTTGGAGCCCAGATTTGAATCCGAATTCTGATTCTACTGCTTGGTTTATACATCAGCTTCAGTCATTTACTGGCAGACTCCAAATTTCCTTTTGTTGTTGATTTTAAAGGAAATACAAATGATTCTGTTTGTTACTATAACTATCCTTAGAACTAAATGAAATGGTGCATGTGACAAATCCAGCACAGTGCCTGGCACACAGCACGTACTCAAAACAATATTTAATTCTTTGTCTTGGGTTTGAAACTTCAGAGTTCGAACAAATGGTAGCAAATCTCCCACGGTCAGAGAATCCATGGGAGCACATGGATGGCATTAAATAGGGATTTCCAAGAAGAGAAATTGTGATGAGACAATTATGAACAATTCTAATGAGATAAAAAAATGCTGTTAAAGTAACAAGTGTCATTTCACAGAGGCTCTCTGACAAGCTCAGATTGCAAAAGGCCAAAGATAAAAACATGGGCAAAAGGATGTATGAGCTAAGAGACACATAAAACAGGAGTACAACAACCCCATGAGGATGTGGTGTTGGGGCCAAACCACAGCAAACTGATACTGTCAAAAATGCCACAACCAGACAACAGAAACTTTGAAGCTTCATTTGGTGAAGGCAATTGAACCAGGGAGTTACAAGCATCTACTTGGATGGAGATGGTATATTATTAACCTATAAGAGGACCCTGGCAGAAATCTGTATACACCTCTTCTTACCCTTTCTCCAGTCTGAGAGAGTGATCTGCAAACAGGAAAGGCCAAAACAAATGTTGCAAATGAAGGACTGTGGCATCAGATAAGGAAGGAGATGAAAAGGCAGTGAGCCAATCAGAGGGTTACCAGAGGCCAATGGTGCAGAGCAGAGTCCCTATAGGCTGGTGTAAGGACTTTCACTTTTACTCCTAGTGATATAAAGCACTGTCTTGAGCAGAGAAACAAACAACAGGATCTGACTTGGGTATTAAAGCGATTGTCATGACTCCTGTGTTGCAGACAGATGCAAGGAGATGGAAGAAGGGTAAAGGTCGAAGCCAGGAGATAGACCAGTTAGGATTATGCTACAATGCTTCCAGTTAGAAATGAAGGTAGACTGTACCAGAAGGTTAGCAGTAGAGGAAGTAAAGCCTTCTGGACACACATTTAACATATACAAAAATGGCAACAATAGAAAAGTAGAGTGACTGTCTGTCAAAAAACTTCAGCTCATGGCATATCTTGCTTCTTGCTTTTTCTATACTCATTTTTTCCTACTATTGAATTAGTGAGAGGCAAATACTAATCCACACATATTGTTCAAAACTTTTAGAGACACATTATGTTAAAAACATAAGCATATTGCCATTTTCACATCTGAAAAACTTAACAATAATTCCTTAACAGCAACAAATATCTAATCAGCACTGAGATTTCCTTTATTGTCTCATAATTTGTTTTTACAATTCTTTTTGAAATTAGTATTCACACAAGCTCCATGCATTGGGTTTCTTTGATGTCTCCTAAGATTTGATCACCTAGAGATTTCTCTTTTGCTTTTTGAACTTTCTTTAAATTTATTTTTGAAGAAACCAGGTTATTATTATTGTAGATTTTCCCACATTCTAGATTTTGCTGAATATGTCCTGTTGTTTAATGTATTTCTTTGACTTCTACATGTCTCATAAACTGGCAATTAGATTTAGATCCTTGATAAGATTCTTTTTTTTTGGGAGAATACTTCATAGATGGTTTATATACTTTCATGGGAAGGTGCTTAATGTCTGATTTATTCTCCTTTATGTTAAGGTTGAACAGTGGATACAGATATTGTCACACTGGTCTATCACGAATTTCTTCCTCACTTTTCACTTGATGCTCTTAAAAGACATCAAGAAGCACTGCATTCATCCTTTATTTATTCAGGGTTACAAACTAGTAATATTGTAACAGTGTTATTTCTTTTTTGCCTATTTGTTATTAAATTCTAAAAGAGAAAATGTTCCTTATCAAGCACTTGATTACTTTGAGGTAAAACTTAAACAGAAAAAGTAGACAGATGCTTATATGCCTTATTTTCACCAGCTTTCAGAATCATGTTTTTCTAGCATCCTCCAAAGGAGGCCAATGTGATTTTTGTTTCTGTATCATTAAGAACTTATGGATTTTAAATATTTGATGTATTTTACTGTATTATAATTATTCTTTTTAATCAAACTTTTTGAGATAACTATAAATTACATGCAGTTATAAGAAATAATACAGATAGTCCATACACCATTTACCCAGTTATCTTCAGTGATAAACATCTTGCGTAACTGCAGTAAAATATCTCAACAAGAACACTGAGATTGATAGACTCCTGATATAGAACATCTTCATCAGCACAAGGATCCCTTCATGTTTTCCTTGTATAGACATATTCATTCACCTCCTGCCCTCCCTCCTGCCTTAATCCTTGACAAACACTAAGCTAGTCTTCTTTTCTATGATTATCTCAACAATGTTATATGAATTGAATCATATAATAGATAACCACTGGAGACTGTTTTTTTTTCATTTAGCACTAATTCCCTGAAAATTCATTTAGGTTGTTGTGTATATCAAGTTTATTCCTTTTCATTGCTGAATAGTATCCCATGGTGTGGATGTCAGAGTTTATTTAAGCATCTACCTTTTGAAGGACATCTGGGTTGTTCGCAGTTTGGAGACGTCATTAATAGAGCGTCTATAAATATTTGTGTCTAGATTTTTGTATGACATAGTTCTTATTTCTCTGGGATAAATGCCCAAGAATACAACTGCTGATTCATATGGTAGTTGCATGTTAATTTATTTAAAGAAATTGCCAAATTGTTTTCAGAATGGCTGTACCATTTTGTAATCTCACCAGCAATGTATGAGTGATCAAGTTTCTTCACATCCCCACAAGCATTTTTGTTTGTATTTTGATTTTTTTCTTTTTTGGTTATGGGTGTGTAAATTACCCCAGCACGCATTGAAGAAATTATCTCACTGCCATATAATTACTTTTTCACCATTGTCAAAAATAAATTGGGCATTTTTGTGCATTGTATATCTAGGTTTTCTACTCTGTTTCATTAATCCATGTGTCTGTCCTTCTGTCAATGTTACATAGAATTGTAGCTACATAACAAGTGTTGAGATTGGGTAGATTGATTCCTCTCACTTTTATTTGTCTTTTACAAAATTATTTCTTTATTCTAGTCCTTTGTATTACTGTATAAATTTTAGAATAATCTTGTCTATGATACAAAAAAATTCCTGAGATTTTAATGGTAATTACATTAAATTTTTATATCAATTTAGGAAAAATTAACACTATCATGTTGAGTCTTCTAATCCATGAAAATGGTATGTATCTCCATTTGATTAGATCTTCTTTGGTTTATTTCACCAGCATTTTGTATTTTTCAACACGCAATATTAGTATATGTTTTGGTAAATTTACACATAAGTGTTTCTCTCTTTTTTTGAGCAACTATAAATTGAGTTGTATTTTAAATTTTGGTGTCTACATGTTTATTGCTAAAACCTACCTGAATTGCATATGTTTATCTTGTATTCCGTGACTTTGCTAAACTCATTATTAGTTCCAACAGGTTGTTTGGGATATTCTACACAATTATGTCATATGCTAACTAAAAAAGTGTGTGTGTGTGTGTGTGTGTGTGTATAATTTCTATCCAATCTATATGATTTTACTTCCTTTTCTTGCTACATTGAAATGACTAGAACTTTCAATGCTAGGTTTAATAAGAGTGGTGAAAGCAGACATGGTTTCCTTGTCCCTAAACTCAGAAAGCATTCCATCATTCACTGTTAAATATAATGTTAACTTCAGTTCTTCGCAGCTGTTCTTTATCAAGTTGAATAAGATTCCCCTCTATATCTCTTAGAGTTTCTAATCATAAATATGCATTTAATTTTGTTGCACATTTCTGTTACATACTCTGCTTCAATTAATATAGTCATATGATTTTTCTTTTCTGCCAATCTCTGAATGGGTGTATTTAGACCATTTACTTGAAATGTAATTGTAGGTTCACTAGGGCTTAATTCTTTCCTTGTATTTTCTGTTTTGGAGATGGGCAGCTTTTTTGCTTGCACTCATTGGTTCTTTCAAGTTACTGTTTTCTTGGCCTCCAAATCTAGGATATATGAGGCAAAAAGAAAACCCACGGCACTCATGACAATGTTGTTCCTTTGGTCCGGAGGTCACCAGTAAGTTTAACTTCTTCTCTCCATCTTTTAGAGTTTTATGGATTTTTAAAATACAATTCCAGTGTTTTTACTTGCGCTTAGCAGAAGGAATACGGAAAAGTCAATCTATTATACATTCCTAGAAGCAGAAATTTGATTATTCTTTTTGATGTTGAAAATGCCCGATATTTGGTCAAAGGGAGCATCTTTAAGTGGGATCCTGTCTCCTTTTGATATTCTCTTAGCAGTCTTTGATAGCTTGCTGGCTTTCTGTATAGCAGATTGCTCCAGGCTCATCATCTTACCATCTATGTAAAAGTGTATATATAAGTGTGTTTTAAAACACTACCAATATCGTACTAGCAACACAATTATGAAAACTAATTTAAGGTAGCTTTTTGTATGTTTATTTTGTGCTTTGAGTGTAGCACAAAAATCATTTGTTTTAAATTCTTTTGAAATAATTCCCTTCTGTATAGTTATGTCAAAAATACAAGACATTTTAAGGTTTATTGGTTTTATTTTGCTTCTTAATTTTAGAAATTGCTTTATTTCTATTTTATTTTGGTTTTGTCATTACATGGGATATTATTTAGTTTTGATGTCAAATATACAAAATAAGGCATATTTAAAGACATCTCGCTTTTATCTCTGTTCCCTCCAACAGGTTTGCTCTCCGTTCCACTGATTTGGGTGCTAGTTTCATTGTATTTAAAAAATTTATATAAAATGTGGTTTATTTCTAGATTTTCTATTCTGTTTTAATGTCTTTTGTGCTATTCATGCATCAATCCCCATTGTTTTCCTTGTAAAGGTTTTAAGAACATGTTCTAGTATCTGGTTGAACTAACATAATTTTATTGTTCATTTTCAGAAGAGATTCTATTGCTTGTTGTTTTGCCAAGTAAATTTATAATCAACTTAGCTAGCCTTTGAAATAAATCTAATGGTATTTGGAGAGGTATTATACTAAATTTATAAATTAAATTATGGATATATTTTGAAGATTTATCCAACAAACTTTCCAGAGAGATCCAATGTGAGGTGTAAGAGAACAAGAACAGGTAAAGATAATCCTAAAGCATTTTGCCAGAGGAAATGGAAGGAGAGAGTAGCCAGCCACTGATACAGAGGCAGCTGTGGTAGCAGCAGGATTAGGAGCAGAGTCTGTAAGCTTAATTTAAAGTATGTTAGGTTTCAGAGGCCTATCATATAACTAATTGGAAATGTGGATCAGGCAGTTGGAAACAGAAGGCTGGAATTCAGGGTAAAGGTCAGGGCTGGGGATGTAAAGTTTGGAATCACTGTCAAGAGGTTGATATTTAAAACTACACAACTGGTTGATGTTGCCAAGGGAAGGAGTAATGAAGAGAGACCCGATTCAGGCCAGAAGGACAGCTGTGGTATTCTTGTTCTTGGGAAAGTGAAGTAAGTGATAAACAGCACAAGGAAGCCTGGAACAAGGATGGGTCAAGGCTGAGACTGTGGTTGGCTCAAGACCACCATACACATAGAAAGAAACAGCAGCATAGTAGTCCAAAAAGTGGGGAACAGGAAAACAAAGTCAGAGATGGGTTAACTTGGGAATGCCAAGCCTGAGCAGAAGCAAGGCTCACAAAGGGGGCAGTTTGGGCCTATGTGCCCAGGGGGTATGCACATGTAGCCAGTGTTTTGCACACACAATCTTCTTCAAGAAGAGATGTTCTTGGGTGGCAGTGTCTTGGTGATGATTACATCCTGCAGTGTCTACAGAGATGTTTTTATCAGGATTCTTTGTTACAAATAGTAATTACAATCTCTGACTAACTTAATTATAGGAGGAATCTATTGGAAATATAGGGGAGTTTCATAAAACTGAGAAGATGAGGATGAAGGCTTAGAAAATGGCAAGACCTCTTGAAAATCAATAGCAGGATATATAGCATCTGTGTTATAGGAGATTTGGTAAAGACAACCTCAAGCTGGAGACAGCTACAGCCACCAAGGAAAACCATAACAGCTGTTGGAAACTCACCTCAAACATTCCTCCATCTTTGTATCATTTTATCCAGAATCAGCCCTGAACAGCAATACCTGACTGTGTAGGGAGTGCACTTCTATACTGGCTGTGGTGCTGAGAGGAGAGAGCTCTCACTTTGACTTCCATTATGGAAGGTGTGTGGTACTGCAATCTACCACTAATATGTGCAACAAGGGAACTCTTCAAAAACAAGAACTGAATGCTGGACAGCCAAAAGTTAAATGACAAAATGTTTATCACACATGAATCAAGAATTTGTAGACGTGCGAAATTTTAATCAGGGAACTCTGAGGAACTGAGAAGGGTGAAAAGGAGATAAGCCTGAAGACTAAAGACATAATTTTAATCATAATTTCTCAAAAACAGCAAAGGGTAGGTTCTAGAAAGTGCCAGCTAATAAACTAAGGAGTATTGGTAGCAAAGAATAGGCTGAGTTGAGAAATCCAGGTTGAAAAGAGTCAAGATCAGGAAGGAAGTTGGTCAGACAATATTCTAAAAGAGCTTCTTAAACAGCTGATCTGTTACCAATGAAACATTGTGAAGCACAAGAGTCAATGCATTCAGTTATGGGCTTGTAATTCAAAAAGTTCTTAAAAGCTTGGAAACCTGGGCCAAAACATTCTGGAATAAATGGGACAAACGTAATGGGGCAAATGTGAAATTTTGCATGTGGGTTCGAAAATGCAATTGTTCTTACAGGAGATGGAATTTAGCCTTCGCTCAGAAATTTAATAGTATATGAGACTTGAAAGATCATATATTAATAGTTCAATTGCCTTATTTAACAGGGATATTAACTTGAAGCCCAGAAAACGGGACTTGCCCAAGGATTCACAGCCAAATAGTAGTAAAACCAGAATTAGCACTCAAGTTTGATGACTAACTTCCTTAAAATACTTTAAAATTACCCTAAAATGCCTTTAACCTGACATCCATCCCCAAGGAAATAATTTGAAGCTTACCAGCATGCATTTAATGGGTGCCAATGGTATTCTGCAGCTGCTAAAATATTACCACAAACTTAGCCCGCAATAAAAGAGGCAGAGTGTTCAGAGCTGGAAAAATGGTGCAGCATCTTCTACCCGAGTCAGCCAATCTTGGAGGATTACACTTGTTTCCCTCAATCATATTTAAGGAGGATTCTGGCCAACATAAACTCTAAAAGAGTGAATCCTTAAAGATGGATCCTGAGTGGCGAACTGGGCCTAAATGTAAAATACAACCAAGCAGCCATTTGCTGAAGAAAGGTCACACAGGTACTCAGCATCCCAGGAAAACCCACACACACATAACTTTGGGACTTTCAAAGTTGTCTTTTTCTGTTTATGCTGCCTGAATCAAACTATAGGCTGTGACCTGCATCCACCAATCAGAAGTCAATGAGCATCAATCAATCAGGACTAAGCAAGTGTGCATCCCTCATTTGCATAAGTGGGCCCATGTGGGAACTTTTTCTATAAAACATAACCCTCTCTTTGTTCTCTGGGAATGCATCTTTGTTTTGTACTGAAGTCTTTATCAAATTTTTGGTTTGCAAACTGCACAAAGAAATGAAGTCTCTCTTAACCCAATACTTCTTTCTCAGTAGTCTTGTTAACACTAACTAGGGGGGATCCAGAGGAGGGATGGTGAAGTTTCTGAAACATGACCACAGAAATGGTTGCAGAAAGAGTAGATAGAAAAAAAGCAGCTAAGGGAAGAGATAGTAGCCACCCTCTAATCTATCAGGCATTCTTATGAGAAGAAAGAGACGTTTACTAAGCTGCCCTGACAGCAGAACTAGGGTCATCAGGCACAAGTGATGGAGTAAAGATGTGCCACTACAAGGGAGCATGAGCCCCCTGTCGGTGAAGCCGCAAAAATACAATTTCATCTTCATCCATCAGTGAGGGATGCAGCGGCAAGTAATATAAAGTCCCTTTCAACTCCTAGCTTTTTGTGATTCTATTACTTTCCTAATTCAGACATTATTTTTTTCTACCAGATATTAAGGTCTTTGAAATTAAGCTCATTATAATGTCTCAGAAAGAAGTGACCCTGTCTTACACTCTCTGTGGTGCCCACAGTGCCTAGAACAATGGAAGATACACAGAAAGTGTTTAATCAATACTGGGCGGCTGATACAGCCTTTGATATTCTTTTCTATTCCTCCTCTTCCTCCTGCCACAATCGTTGATCCTGATCCACTAACTGCAGAGCAGCAAAGGGAAAATTGTCACACACACACATGCATGGTATTATAAGGGTATCTTCAAGGAAATAGAAAAAGGATTGAGAAATGGGTTTTAAAAATTTACATACTTGTGCAGGATAATACTTAAACACACACAGTTCTTGGGGAAAAAAGAGCTAATTCTGGCTTCATACCTTTATACACAAGATCACAAACAACAAATCCTGACATTGTGACTGTACTTATCTCTTTTCTCTGCCCCATATTTTTTTTCTATAGCTGTTCTCTTTTAATGTTGAGATGCATGCTATTACAATAAGATGAAAAGAAGTTCAGTTTGAAGGGCTGGGAAGAGAGTGGGTGAGGGCAGATTTATGGCAGAGCTTCTGGCTCAGATGTTGCCTCTAATTCAGACTCCATCTCTTGCTTGACTCCATGTCTGGGTAAGTGACTTCAACGCTAAGCCTCAGTTTCCTCAACTGAAAACCAGAAATAACATTGCTTATCTCAATAGGTTATAAGCAGAATTAACACGAAGTCTACAAAAATCATAGGCACTCATTAAAATTAGTTCCCTTGTAGCCAGGCACAGTGGCTCACGCCTGTAATCCCAGCACTTTGGGAGGCCAAGAGGGGTGGATCACCTGAGGTCAGGAGTTCAAGACTAACCTGGCCAAACTGGTGAAACCCCATCTCTACTATAAATACAAAAATTAGCCAGACATGGTGGTGGGTACCTGTAATCCCAGCTATTCTGGAGGCTGAGGCAGGAGAATCACTTGAACCTGGGAGGCGGAGGTTGCAGTGAGCCGAGATCAGGCCATTGCACTCCAGCCTGGATGACAAAAGTGAAACTCCATCTCAAAAAACAAATTAGTTCCCTTGCATTTGCCCCTGATGCTCCTCCAACTAAGTCATCCTATGACATTTGAAAGCCTTTGCTCTGTAGAATTCTTACTTCCAGTATCACTTGGGAAGTTCTGACCTCGGCTAAGAGTGAAAATTGTGTGTTAATTTACTTGCCATCTTTGTTCAATTGATAGTGATTATCCAGAACAATATTACAAGTGTTTCTAAGCCATCCAAGGCACTTTAGGAAGGAACAAGAAAACTAGAACAGTTATAGTGGGTACCAGAGTAGAAAGTGGCTACAAGAACGCCATATATTTGCCATCTCTGCCTTCAGCATTAAAGATGAAGGAAATCAATGAGGAAAAAATCTGGATCGGAAGTCTGAATTTGCATTTTGATTAATTTATCCCAATTACTTTGGTCTCAGTTTTCATAACTGTAAAATGATCGAGATTTTATAAGATGATGTTGATGATGATGATGATACCTGCCCTATGTGTCTCATCAGAGCACTGAGAATGATAGATGTGTTTGAAAAGCTGGCCATAAGCCAATGCCAGGTACTAGAACCCATCAGATGCATACGCTAAGGCAAACTGAGAGAGTGGAGCCTAGAGAGGAAATCGGAGGATCTAGTGGTGTTAAAGGAAAAGGAAGAGATTCAGTAAGGACAAAGAGGAGGGGACTAAATAGTTTTGCTCACTCGATTTGCCTAGAGACATCCCATAGCAAACGTACCTCTTTAACCTGTGATGTTGAAGAATCACTACAAAATAAAATCAAGGACATTGCAAAGGAAAACACTGTATTACTGCTGAATTAATGGGCTGCTTCTCATTCTTCTCTACACTCACAAAGAGGGAAGCAGGCATGTGAGGGCTGAAGCTTTTGGAACAGTTTATCATCTCCAGGGACTTTGCTTTTCTTGCTTAGAGAACTGGAAGGCCTGAGTGGCAGGCCCTTCCTTTTAAGGGAAGACTGAGAGGTAGGAAAAGCTGCTTCTGATAAATGGTGATAAGGGGTCAATTATTCCAACTATTTCATATTTATTAAGTTCCAGTAACTATGAAGCACCCAGCTGTGGGAGTAGAAAAAGTGAATGGTGATTGCTATAGATGAGGCCTGAGAGATTTTCTGTGAAGGTGAATTAGAGATGCAGGTTTGATGAAGATGGCATTTGGTATAAGGAAACACATCTTAGGCCAAATGGCCTCCTATGAACATGTTGAAGAAAGAGCTCGCCAAGTAAATACAGTGAATCTGAGAAGCGCCCAAAGTGAGAGTGGGCACATGTATGTGTGAGTGAACATGTATGTCTCTGTGTGCAAGGGTGTGTGCAGTGGTGAGGTGGAGTGAAAGCTAGGAGACAAACGTGTAGGTAGGAGGGGAGTGCTCGAGAGAAATGGGAGACTCAGGAAAAACCCCTGAAAGGCTGATTCAAATCTTCCAAACAGGTCACCAGGGATAGCAAGGAAGAGCAGAAGACAAGGACACTAAAGGTACCACAGGCAGTTGCTATTAGTACAGTCTTTGTAATATCATCCATAATAGCTGGTCTGTGATTGATTGATTGATTTTTTTTTTGAGACGGAGTCTTGTTCTGTCACCCAGGCTAGATTGCAGTGGTACGATCTCGGCTCACTGCAACCTCCGCCTCCCGGGTTCAAGCGATTCTCCTGCCTCAGCCTCCTGAGTAGCTGGGATTACAGGTGCACGCCACCACACCTGGCTACTTCTTGTATTTTTAGTAGAGATGGGGTTTCACCATGTTGGCCAGGCTGGTCTCAAACTCCTGACCTCGTGATCCGCCCACCTCGGCCTCCCAAAGTGCTGGGATTACAGGCATGAGCCACCGTACCTGGCCTGATCTGTGATTTGTATTTATTGTCTCTAGCAATCGTTATAATAAATGCCAGCTCTGATTTATTTAAACAGGTAAGCCCTCTCTTGCCCTCCCAGTGTCTGTTCATGTACCACACTTTTCCAGCTCCCTCCTTGGAGTCCTTGGAGAGCTGTTGCTTTTCTCTTACTTCCCCCCACCCCTTTCTATTTCCATCACTCACTAAGTCACATTTTTTTTCCTTTGGCAATTTTTTCTCATTGCTTTTCTATGCTGTCAGGGATTAACTTTGCACAAAGAAAGGTTTAGCCTCAGATGGGCCCCTGGCGGCCCTTTAAACTTATGGCATGTCCTGCCTGATAAGACCTTCTGAGCACAGGGCCAGTGAAACTGCACAGAGAAGCACATCACAAACGTTGTCCTGCCCGGTCTCCTGAACCATCTGCCTGTCTCCTGTCCTCTTCCTTATTTTCCAAAGACCATCACAGACGCCAAGGCTCAAATTAGTTTCTATGAACTCTGATGCATACTGTCATGTATGATGTGCCAGGAATTGTGCATTATCTCACTTAATCCTTGCAAGACCACTGGATGGTAAGTCTTAACAATGCCCACTTTATAGTGGAAAATCTGAGGCTTTGAAAGGTTAAACAATTTGTCTAAAATTACAGCGCATGTGGCAGTCAGGTCTATCCAACCTCAGCATCTGGATTCACAGTTGCTGTGCTGAATAGCCTTACATGAGACTTCTACTTATCTAAACTTACACACAGTTATTAGTTTGAATTCTGAGAAACTGGCTTTTGAGAGTGGAAAAGAGGCCAGGTATAAGCGTTCTTAGTCTGTTTTAAGAATAAGAACAATTAGGATAATCACTCACCCCCACCCCCAACTCATCACCCTTAGAAGAATCTATCTGCTAGTAGTCACTTGGTATCCACAAAGTCAGACTTCATTATCCCCTAATAAAAACTCTCCTGGCATCATTCTAAGAGGTTTATGTGGGGTGCTGCTCCCCATTTCCAACCTGTCTGTGAACCTCTCCTTTTTGATTCACTGCTGAATCATCTGCCAGGCCTCTGAGCGCTCACCTTCATTTTGCTCAGCCACAAGGTAGACTCCTGAGTAAATGGAGTCCATTAGAGTGGACTCACATCACATTAAGGTATGCAAATGTGTACATTAAGGTGGAGGGAGACACAGAAAAAGAAAAATAATTGTAGTTGCATAGGAGATTCCTAGCACCATCCCATTCATTAAGGAGATATAGCTGATATGAACACACTGTTCCCCCCCAAGTCTGTGTTGTTTTCTAAGCACCTCTGAGAATACAGGCATCTCACCAAGCTAAGGGTCCTGCTCCTGTTTACAATGCCCGTGTTTCATAAACTTTGCCTACTAAAGGGAAACTAACAATTTCATCTCATACTCAGGAAATCATGCTAGCCCAATACTAGAGGATAACACAGCTGGATCTGACTCACTAAGAAGCAATGTGTCAGTTTCCAGTGAAGTGCTTCTAAAGAGATTTGCCAAGTCTACTTTTTGTCTCACAAGCAGACTTCAGAGCCTAAATTTTCCATAAGCTGTGACTCTGCAAATTTGTCTGGGGATTTGTGATTGGATCACTGGGGAATTGACCCACCCAGTTGCAGAGATGCTAGTCCAAGGGTTATGTAGAATTAGAGCTGCAGTCAGCACCAAGAAAAGCAACGCCCTGTGTGTACTGAAGATTTAAGAGAGCAGAAAAATAAGAGGAGACCAAGGGAACCAGGCTATAGAAAGGAAAGTGGAACTGCAGCAAAACATATATTTAACACATTTTTAAAAATAGGGATCACTACCAAGCCGGAGACAGTGAGTGAGAGAGAAAGAGATTGGGAATGAGAGCAGAAAAATAAGAGGAGACCAAGGAAACCGGGCTATAGAGAGTAGAGTGGAACAGGAAGAAGACATATATTTGAAAAGAGGGGTCACTGTTGAGCCAGAGAGAGTGAGTGAGAGAAAGAGATTGGGAATGAGCCTTCTTGGTGTGTGATGGGTCCTGACTGAGTGGCCCTTGTCCCAGGATCCCATGCCTGTCAGGCCCGGGCTTCCCTTCCCCTTTGGCAGGGGCATCCCTAGTGAGGCACAGGAATGATTTGTACTCTACATTCAGCTTCTGTTGCCCCAACTGTAGTCTAACGCACCCCAGCAAGTTTACCCTTTTTCTTACCTGCTAATGCCAAATTGACAACCTAATTACCACGCATATGTGATTGCTATTACCATGTGAATAGTAATAACTATGCACCCTTTCTAATTTCTAATTCTGATTCAGAAACAGAAGTCATTCACAAACCCTTCCTTATCAGTTTTAAAAAACGATCCCTATGCCGAAATGGTGACTCAGCTTCCGTACATTGCAGTGATAGTGCTGGCCCTCTCCAGAACCCTTGCACTCTCCGGCCGTTAACAAAGATAAATATAAATGCTTATTTCAAGTTCTCTTTTCAACCACCCTTGCGCTCCAACGATTTTTTTTCCTGCATGGGCTGCTTCTGGCTGCTATGACCTAATGCTACGACCTTTTTTTTACTCTGGGTTATTCTGGCCTTCATTTCTTTTGAAATCAGCCCTTCAATTTCATTTTCTCATATTTGTCACCACAGCTTTGAGATGTATGTGTACCTTTAACAGCTACATGAGTAGAATGGAAGGTGGTAGAAAGACACTATGGTTCAATATTAACAGGAGAATGGGGAGGAGCCAATGATACTGCCAGACACAAAAGGAAGGGAGGAGGAAGTGGGGGAGCAGAAAGAGTAAAGTAATAAGAGCTTGGGGAAATCAAGTTAAAAGTAACCAAGAGGTAATCAACCCAGTGATGGCATGGCACTAAATATACATGTCTTGCCTTGTGACATCTCTTCTAATTTTCTATCTTGCATCTCTCAGAAATTTGTAGAAGTTCCCTGAGGGCAAGTTCCCTGCCTTATACTCTTGTTTGTTGTTGCTGTTTCATATGGAACATTAATATTTGCTGATCAAATGATGTATTAATTGATTGATATTCCAACTGCTTGCACTCCAAATAAGACTGTACACATTTCAAATGGTGGTGGTGGTAGAACCATTTGAGTGAGGGAGAGGAGTAGTTAGAATTAGTGGAAACTGTATTTTTTTCCCCAAAATGCTTAGAAGGAAATACGTTCTGTAACCCTTCCTGTCTAATGGCTGCAGAGTAATTTGGCACTAATTTTGATTTCTCTTCTTTTAACTATTCAAGTGCCCATGACAGCCTGACACATAGTAGGCACTCATTAAACATTTGAAAATGACTGAGTGACAAACTGAAAAATACTTTTAGTGAGAATTGAAATCTACTATTGATTGTCCCATCAAGAGATTTAGGGACCCTGGAAGGACTATGCATTTCCTGAGGTCATCCTTTGAGTAAGGCTGCTAGGATGGATAGGGTCCATAACAGAGCTGTATCAGAAACAAAAGGAAAAAAAAAATACTGGTCTTGGAAGGTAACAGTATTGCATAGCAATTAAAGAGAATAAAAGAAAACGACAATGCACATGGTACATATGCATTAACTTGCTAAGTCTACCATAACAAAATACCACTGGGTGTTCAACCACAGAAATTTATTTTCTCAGTTCTAGAGGTTGGAAGTCCAAAATCAAGGTGTCAGAAGGTTCCTCTGAGGCCTCTCTCCTTGGCTTGCAGACAGCCGCCTGCTCACTGTGTCCTCGCACGGTCTTTCTTCTGTGTGTGTATGCCCCTATCCCTGTGTCTCTCAGTGTGTCCAACATGCCTCTTCTTATAAGAATGCAGTCACATTGGATCACTTAATCACCTCTTTAAAGGCCCTATCTCCAAATACAGTTACATGCTGAAGTGCTGGGGGGTTAGGTTTCAACATAGGAATGTGAAATGGGGGTACATTTCAGCCTATGCAATATAGATGCCGATTCTACAAAGCATTCTCCTAGCTGCACGGTCATTCTGGGAAGCAAATAATTTTAATATCCAATGTTTATAGTTTAAGAAAGTGAATATTAAAATGTTATTCTGCCCCAGATCCAGGAGCTACAAGTGACAGGCTTGGATTCAAACCCACAACTTCTTGCTCTAAATAGCATGCATTTTCTACTTCAGCACTCTGCTATGAGACAAAGAAACATGAGCAGTGAAATATCTGGAGAAAACATATAGATGAGAACTGTCAGAAAAACTGAAACATTTCACCCAAACAGTAGGCCTCCTGTGACTCTCCAGAAAATCCACAACCATACCTTGTTTCTAAATCTCTGAATAAGTGACCCGAATTAACTCTTTCTGCTTCCATTTTGGCATTAAAAAAATTTAAAGCAATAAAATGTTCTTTCTCTTTTCCCCAGGGATTTTGAGGTCACCTGATACAGACAGTACTTTAAAAAAAAAACTTTTTATTATGAAAATCTGTAAATATAGAGAAAAGCAGACATTATATTATAATGACTGCTCATATCTTTATTAGGTTGGTGCAAAAGTGATTGCAGTTTTGCCATTAAAAGTAATGGCAAATGAATGAACCTAATACCAAGATTCAACATTTTTAGAATTTTGCCACTTTTGCTTCATCTATCTTCCTATTATTTTTCTATCATTTATCTATATCCATCTATCTACCTACCTATATTTTTGATAAACCATTGTGACATTTCATCTATAAATAGCTCATCATGCATCTCCCAAAACAAAAACATTTTCCCACATGCCCACAAAACCATTTTAAAATCTAACAAAATTAAGTGATTTTCTAATATAATATAGCAATCAGATTATATTCAAACTTACCTCCTTGTTCTTAAAATTTTTTTATATAGTTTAGGGTTTTTTAAAAAACTCTAATTCTAACCAAGAAGCACACATTTCATATAATGCTAAATTTGTTAAGTTTCCTTAATCAAGAATCATTACTTCCTTCTGTTTTCATAATGTTACCTAGATGAAGAGTCCAAGCTATTTTATTTAGTACAAATGTCCCACATTCTGAATTTGTCTAATTGTCTTCTTATGGTGTTTTTTAACTTGTTTACCTATTCCCTGTATTTCCTGCCATCTGGAATGTAGAGCTTAAGATTTGATTCATTTTAGAATATTTTAAGCAAGCCACATTCATGGGTGGCACTGAATTTCATTTCACATCACAACAGGAGGCAGGTAATGTCTGATTAAATTGCTCTTAGTGAAGGTGAGTTTACTCACTCAGTGGCAGTCAGGTTTTTCCATTGTAAAGCTGCACGCTTCTTATATAAAGATTAAGTTGTATATGGAGTGTTACTTAGGTACTTCCCAATCATCTATTACATATCAGCCTTTCCTCACTGTTTTAGCATCTGTTGATGGCCCTTGCCCTGTGAGCACCATTGAAACTACCCAGTTAGGTGAGTGCTGGTCCAGTTCTTCGGTCATTGAGGGAGGACATTCCTTGGGTACAGCCACCACCTCTCTGCCATCTCCGGGTTTCTCTGGACTCAGCCACTAAATCTGACATGCAAGGTGAACTCAATAAGGTATTGTTTTTAATGATCCTAAACTCTTTACTATTTAGCTGCAGAAGACAATATAGCAGGTGCCTGGAAATCCACGGAAAAATATAAACCAAGGTCAAATTTGAAGCTTATTTACCTGTTACACTGCCAAAGGCTATTCCCAAGAATTCCCAAACTACAACATAGCATGTAGAGAGCATGGCACATATATACATTTTTAATTGGGATCAGTCATTTGACCTCTTCCCCTTCTTTTGACTTGGTTTAAGCTGAGCCCCTTTTGGCCCATTTTAAAATTTCTGATAAAATTGATTTCAGGCCTCTGAGGGCAAGTGTTTTCCAAATTCTTTGAAAGAAAGCACATGGGCAATATTACGCACACCATTCTTTATTCTGAAAGCTGACTTGATGATAGGATAGGGGACTGAAATCAAACATCTCTTCACTAACACATTGACCCCCTCACTGAACGAAAGCATAAAAGCACTGAATTTTCAGGTTCTCCATCCAAAAACCGAACTATTAAAAGACCTGAATACACAGGCCACAAAAGAAGAAATCATAATTACTACACACTGAAGGCAAAGCTTCCTTTTCTGCTCCATCAGACTGCAAGCATTTTGAGAACGGGGATTCTGCCCAATGCATCTTTGTCTCCCATCGCCAATGCTAGAAGCTTTACACTCAGTAGTGTTGAAGTAAATCTTTATTAACTGAGTTAGCAAGCAGCCCTCAATAATAAAATCAATGCAAATCGTAAGAACAAATGATCATTTTCAACTATCAAATTAGAAAACATTTTCAAACTGTTTAAAGATACTATACCATTAACTGTAATAAAGCAAGGCTCAAAAGAGCATAAAGACTATGCATTTCTTAGAGCATAGAAAGAAATATTCCAAAATATTAACACCTACCTCTGGGAGGTAAGATAGGTAAGGTACTGTTTTTCTTATTCTTTGTTCACTTCAGTATTTTTCAACTGTAGTTCAACAAACATGTTCATGATCGGAGGAAGCAACATTTACAAACAAAATGGGTCCTTGTCCTGCTTCCTCCAGGATACTGCATGTGTGGACCACAGACCCTGGGAAAGCAGTGATTATTCTGATCGTTCTGTGCATGTGCTCTCTAGGACTAAATACCTAAGTGACCTTCATATAGTGGGCATGAATATGTGTAAGTGTGTACGTGTTGTCTTTCTTTTCTGTTTTATTTCTTTCTTCCCCAGCAGGTGTGTTTGAATAGCAGCCCATTACTGCTCGCTTGGTGCTATAAATATTTATAAGCATGCTCCAAGGAAGCTATTGTATCATAAACTGGCCAGTGGCATGGCCGGCTGCTATTTCAGAGTGGAGGTGTGAGACAGCTTCTGGGGAGGTGGGTTCTACCCAACACGAAGCGCTGCAGTCTGTGAGGCGTGAAGGTCTAGGCAGAGGTTTGTGAAAGATGTTAGTTCATCGCTGAAGTCGTGGACCTGATTGCTGTAGAGTAGGTTAAAGCTATTAAGTCCATGCTGCGTTATATTTGCCTTAGTTTACAGAGACAGAGTTTTGCAGTTCAGTTAGCCCTTTTAACACACAGGGTTAAAAGTATTTCCATTGGTAGTTTTAAAGAGGTGTGTGTGTGTGTGTGTGTGTGTGTGTGAGAGAGAGAGAGAGAGAGAGAGATTGAGAGAGAGAGAGAGATTGAGATTGAGGCCAACTTTAGTGTGATAAAGGATACTCAAAGCTTCTGGCCACTGAGTGTGCACCAAAGCCATGGAAATACCCTGCCTTCTCTGGGTGTGAAGGATGGAATCATGCGCGTATGGGAGACCCCAGAAATGAGGTCCTTTAAACTGGGACTCGGTACACCCTACACCAGAGAAAGGCTGAGCTCATTGCATTTGACCAGCACAAGTGTACAGGAGATGGCAGATACCCTCAACTCCAAGCACCTGTTCCAAACATTGCTAACACCAGAATGGTCTTTGGCAGTTAATAAATGACCTCTTGCCAGCATGGTGGCTCACACCTGTAATCCCAGCACTCTGGGAGGCCGAGGTGAGTAGATCACCTGAGGTCAGGAGTTTGAGACCAGCCTGGCCATCATGGTGAAACCCCTTGTCTACTAAAAATACAAAAGTTAGCTGGGCATAGTGGCGCATACCTGTAATCCCAGCTACTTGGGAGGCTGAGGCAGAAGAATTGCTTGAAGCCGGGAGCCAGAGGTTTCAGTGAGCCAAGATCGTGCCACTGCACTCCAGCCTGGATGACAGAGCGAGACTCTGTCTCAAAAAATAATAAAATAAAATAAAATAAAATAAAATAAAATAAAATAAAATAAAATAAAATAAAATAAAATAAGTGACCTCTCTGCCTCCCCAAGGTTTCCAAACAATTGAAGACTTACCTGAGTCTCATGCAGTCGTCAGAGCTCTGAATCTAGGTTCCAGCTCTGAATCTGAAACTAGCTTTATGCCCTAATTCTGCCCTGTGGTACTCAGAACAAGTCACTTAAACACAGACTTACTTTTCTCATTTGTAAAATGCACACATTGCACTAAATGTGTTAGAGCATGTAAAGTGTTCTCGACTGTGTTTGGTACATGTTAAGTGCTCAATAAATATTGGCTCTTATTTTATTATTACTACAGTAGATTTTTTACCTGGAGCAGGAATGCCTTAGTGGGGGCTCCACTCCTCCTCCTTCCTCCAATCCACCCATCCAGAGCCAAGCTTTCAATAAAGGTTTGAAGGCCTGGTGGTTTATCTGGGACATATTCCCAAGGAGGAGGAACAAGGGAGTGAAAGAGGGAGGGAAAACCCATGCATGAATGCATTATCCAGTTGGCCATCACCACAGGGAACTGATACTTAGTTGAGCTGGAGCTTCTGAGGAAATGAATGAAATGGATCTCAGAACAGTCTGCCTGGGGGTGAAAGGCAGAAGCATTTATTACTGGCTTAAGGCAAGGTGCTATCTTCTAGCACCTGCCCGGAGCTGGTTGAAATCTACTTGCAATGTTCACCATCAAGTACCTGTAACAAGGTGGATTCTAGAAGATATGACTCAGCTCATAAGAGGTGCCCCATATAGAAGGCTGAAACTTTGACCCTTTCTGGTTCAAACGCATCCAAGTCTGTCTGGAGGGCTGATGGGTGGGGGCCACTCACAGGTCTAACTTGCAAGATCTAAGGAGTTTGATAGAAATGACAGATGACTGCACACGTCAGAGCTGACAACTAGCCTGGCGAATAAGACCCCTCATGCATTAGAAAACAAATGCCACCCCTCAACAGCTCAAGAAGCACAGTGAGGGGTAGATACATGGGGTGGACATGTCAGGTGATGTGGTGATATGGAGGTCATGGGAGGAGAATGGGACGGTCTCTTGCATTAAGTGCTGGAATATTTGCTTTTGTCCCCACCCACATTGACCCCCCTCCCTCCATTGTCTGAACGTCACAGTCAAATGGTAGGAATTCCATAACCATGCAAAGTCAGAATATTGTGTCATGGAAGTTTCCAGAAGACCCTGAGAGCAGGAGACATAGAAGGACTTCTTGTTTGACCAGGAAGTAGAAATGGCCAATACAGGAGCATTTTACACCAGATTTTCTTAGAGTCAACCAGCCTTAGATACCTGAGGTGTGGGGTCCATCAAAATGGTCATCTGAGAAACCCAGGAATGTGGACACTGCATGTTTTGAGATACCCCAGAAGGAAAGATTTCTATGGTCCATCCTAGAAGGGTGATTCAGGAAATTCTATTTCATGTTATTGTTTTACTATTTTGCATCCTTAACTGTTAGTTCAAACAACAATGGTTAAAGTCACGCCTATTTCATCAGATTCGTTTGAGGATTACGTTAGCCAATATAAACGGGAAAAAACTTTGGTAATCTTAGAGAAACAAGAAGATTTCTTCTCCTCCTTCTTCTTCCTATTATTAGTATTACTGTTATACTATTATTTCTGTAAAACACCATTAAGGCATTTTAATCACTTTTAGTGGGAATCTTCCTAAAAATTTATGATATATATCTGGGAATTTTAAAACAAAAGATATAGAAAACTGATGTTTTCCATTGGTGTTTGAGATTCTGCATTGTTAATATCCACATTGGCCTCTACTGTCATATAGTGTTGATATGTGATGGGTGATTTGTCACTATCCAGGATGGTCCTTCACTGACATGGTTTTTATGAATTTTTGCCTCCTCCCTTAGTATTAGACTGTCAGCTGTCACCTTTTTGTTGTCAGTCTTCCTGCCTCCTGTTCTCTGCTATGTTTCTAATCAGTACAGTGACCATATATTGTTAAGTAAACATTGAGAGACAAGATCTGGCAGAGGACATTTGTATCTTGAATGTGTGGGGTGGGAACCGTCAGCATGTATGTACACATGTTTATGAAACAATTTGGAACATGCCTCTGGAAGCCTGAATACTAAAAACTTCTGAAACACTGTGTGAAATAATACTGTCCCTGGGAAATCCACTCAGGTAAACTGAAAACAGCTAGGGCCTTGCTGAAGCACCATGTGAAAAGGGCAAACAAAATGGCACCAAATGCATGTAGATTAAACGTGTGGCAGCACAAGGTCTGGCCTAAGAATGACATTGAATTACTCCATTCTCCCAGCCATTATAGAGGATACATTTGTTCACACACGTTGTCTTCACACATTCTTGATAATGCACAGCCATGTCCTATCTAAAGAATTTTATTGCTGCATATGTAAGCCAGGGCAGCTGGTAGGAAATTGAAAAATTCCTCCAAATCTTTAAAACTACTGACACACTTAATTTTGGGTTGGAGGATCTGGGTTCTGGTCAACCGAATGACTAAGCAAGTCACAATCCCTCAAAGAGAAATACTTTCTCATTTGCAAAATAAGGAGCCAGCCCATTTTTTAACTTTGAGCTCCTACTTCTGGAATGCAAATTTTCAAAGGAAAGGGACCTGAACGTTGAAAATCAGGATTTCGTCAAAAATAGTTGTTCATACTTGGGATAGCAACAGGAAGTTTTAGGCCAGCAAAATGGATATTAAAGTTCAGGACAGATGTCAACTTTGAATTTAAGCATTTTCTGTTATTTACTATACCCCATCTAGGCATAGCTAACTATAATGGTCAAAATATTTAAAAACTACTATGGCACACAGACCAGCCAATTAGAACAGATAAATAACCAGTATGGTTGTACTGAGGGTTAGGAGGGGCAGTGAATATCAGTTCTGGGACTGTCATTTTCTTGAGAGCACCATCTTTCACTACTTTGTTTGGTGCCTTTCTTGTAAAAACTGAAAACAAATGGGTGTTGTAGAAATGAATGATCGTGTGAGTGCATGAACTCAAAAATGTTACAAATAGGTGACGACTGTCAAAGTTTATGCCTTTAAGAAAGAGGAGTGGGAAGAGAGAAGACCAAGGAACAGCATATTTTCTGAGCAAGATGAAAAAGAGGATGCAGTTAAGGAAACAAAAAGGAGTGATTAAAGTGTTTGTTTGAAGAAAAACAGAACAATGTTCTTGTTAGGCCAGGGAGAAAAATATTTCATAAGGAATTTGGCAATCAACGATGTCAAATTCTGTAGAGGGAACCACGTCCTGTTGCTTTTGGCCTTCTGGTCAGTGTTTTTTGTTTTGTTTTGTTTTCTTTGCTTCCCTTAGAGAATGAAGACTAAAAAAAAAAAAAGAGGCTATGGAAATAACAGATCACCACAGTTTCTTCTTTAGCAATTGGTGCAAAAGTTCAAAGGGGAAGGGCAGGCATAGCTGCAATATAAAAGCTTATCTGTGGACTTTATCTATGCATGATATCTCTTTCACTGCAGTCATTCCACACATGCTGAGAAAGAGAGCTTAGTCACTGCAATCTACCTTATGTCACATTCATAGGATTTCTATTCTGCCTGCCTGGTTCTAGCTAGCTGCCAGAAGCTTTGCCAGATGTTCTAAATGTGGACATGGTTATTTAGCTCCTAGGGACTGCAGCCTCTAACACCCAAATCTAACAATTTTCACTGAGGGTTTTAGGGCATATAAATTGCAGATGATGAAGTGCACTTCTTTGAGGCCAAACAGAGTAATTGGCTAGAGTCTCTTACTGAATAAGCTCAGATTGGGCAGGGCGCGGTGGCTCACGCCTGTAATCCCAGCATTTTGGGAGGCCGAGGTGGGCGGATGATGAGGTCAGGAGTTCAAGACCAACCTGGCCAACTTGGTGAAACCCCATCTCTACTAAAAATACAAAAAATTAGCCCGGCATGGTAGCACATGCCTGTAATCCCAGCTACTCAGGAGGCTGAGGCAGGAGAATCACTTAAACCCAGGAGGCACAGGTTGCGGTGAGCTGAGATCACGCCACTGCACTCCAGCCTGGGCAACAGAGCAAGACTCTGTCTCAAAAAAAAAAAAAAAAAAAATTAAAAAGCTCAGATCACTGGTTCAGACCACATATAGTCCAGTTTGTGTGGCCTATGTTCTGCAGCTAGGCCTCCATCCACATCCACAGCCATCTTGCTAGCGTGTGTCATAAGGCCACAGGAGCACGAAAGTGTGCATGATCAGTATAATCGTTTACTGTTACTGAAAATTCTATTAAGCAAATATTCCACCATATCAATAACAACTCTCCTCTCCTCTTCTTTATTCTTTACCTACTTACTAAGCTGAGAACCTTATAGGCAATAATCCTCAGACCAGCTCAAGGAAGCAACAACTATTATTATCTCCAATGCAGGGATAAACACTATAGGTAGAGAAGTTGAGAGGTCATACAACTGGTAATCAGCAAAATCAGAACTGTTCATCTAGAAAGCCCAATTTTCTTAGTACTGTGTTTATCCTTTCTCATCAAAAGGGCAGCATATTATTGGAGTTTATAATGATTTTCCCATTAAGCCAAGTACATGCTAGCTCTTCACCTTCCTGAGAACAGAGACCACAGAGCCTTCTTCCAGGCCTCTGTCTCTTAGCCTCAGATGACTCCTATGCCTGTCACACTCTGTATGCCTGGTGAATCAAAGCACTGCCTGATTACACAAAGGAGAGTACTACCACTCTCTCCTGTGCATAAATTAAATATATATAAATTAAATATATATACATGTACACATTAGCCGCCATATCTCAACTTTAGACCCTACGTATGTTACTTTCACATTTCTATACCTGATGCCCTATTTTGAGAGGGAGAAAGGGAGAGAAAAAAGAGAACTATGACCAACATAACTAGTCATTATTGTACAATTATAGGGGATGTTTGTTCATGGAGCTTTAAAGAGTAGTTTGCTACTGTCTCCACCCTTGAAATCCTGACAAAGATTGTGGGGTACCCTCTCAGAATCATATGGGAAAAGTTTGATTTTCTTCTTTGACGATTGCAAGTATCTTCCTACCCAATCATTATCTAGATACTCCCTGAGGTTTGACATTTTGATATGTCATGTTGAAGCGACAAAGTAGCCCTTATAGTATTGTGTATCCTGGATATTCCTGTGCTATCCCCTTCTCAGGTAGTTGCCCTCATGGGGGAGTTTGGCCTAAGGAAGTGTCCACAGGTAGCACAGACTTCAATGCTAGCTTCACAACATTCTCCACTGATAGGTTCTAAGCACAGCCACAGAGAAACTCCATGTATGGAGAATTCTTGGGTTGAGCATTAGATTTTTGCTTCCAACAATATCACATGAGAAAATACATGTAATTTCAATCAACTTGCAACTTCACCTTCTTTAGATTTATAGAGCAGGTGTGTATATTCATTGATCCAAAAATATGTATTGAGGCCTTATTATGTGCCAGGCACTGGAGAAAACATGGTGAACAGACCAGACACTTGCCTTCATGGAGATTACTATGTAGTGGTAGAGACAAACCAAATAACCACTGGGAAAATGTAAAACTATGTCTCAAATAATTGTTTATAAAAAGAGACAAGGAGACTTCTACTTGTGGGAAAATAGAATGGATATATATATTTTTCATATTCTGTCTGCAAAACATCCCCAAAACATTGCAATGTGTATACAAGACAAGGATTTAAAAAAAAAAAAAAAAAACTATGAAAGTTGGAGGGAAGGCAGGCTGACTAGGACCCAAGAAATGCAAAAACAACAGGGAGATGAGTGTCCTGGAGTTTCTTTTTGTCTCACACATACCAAGTTTGAAGCTGAAGAAGCTGTTAATCAAGAAACGTCATAAGACAATAACAATCAGCAACAACAACTTACTGGGGAAGAGACAGAAACTGATTTCCAGAGTTGCCACATATTATTTAAAATGTCGTTTTAGCAATTAAAAATATGAGATACGCAAAAACATAAGATGTAAGGCCCATATACAGGACAAAGGAAATCAATAGAAATTATCTGTAAAGAGGTCTTGTCATTGAACTTATTGGACAAAGACTGCAAAACAGTTACTTAAATATGTTCAAACAACTAAAAGAGACCATGTTTAGAGAACAAAATGAAAGCAGGTGAATGATGTTTCATGAAATGGAGAATATTTAAAGGGAGAAATTTTAAAAAGAAGGAAATAGAAATTCTAGAGTTGAAAAGTACAAAAACCCAAATAAAACAAAATTGGAAAGGGATTTAACAACGTATTTGAGCAAGTGGAAGAAAGAACCAGCAAACTTGAAAACAGATTAAGTGAGATTATATAGGCTGAGAAATAAAGAATGAAAGAGCAAAAATGAACAGAACCTCAGAGACTGAAAGATGCTATCAAGCATAGCAACGTATGCATAACAGGAATCCCAGAAGTAGAGGAGACAGAGAAAGGAGAAGAGAAAAGTATTTGAAGAAATAATGGCCAAGAAGTTCCCAAAATTGATGAAAAGCATCATACTGCAAATCCAAGAAACTCAACAAATTCCAAGTAGGATAAACTCAAAGAAATGTATAAGTAGACACATATTTAAATTGTTAAAGGCCAAAGAGAAAATCTTGAAAGCAGCAAGAAAATAACTGCTCACATACAAGTAATTATCAATAAGATTAATAGCTGACATCTCATAAGAAGCCATAGAGAACAGAAGGCAGTAGAATTACATACTCAAAGTGATGAAAGAAAAAGACTGTGAGCCAAGAATTCTACATCCACCAAAACTAACCTTCAAAAAAGGAAGGAGAAAGACACTTCTAGACAACCACAAACTGCGAGAAATTGTTGCTAATAATCCTGCCCTATAAGAAATACTAAAAGGAGTCCATTAAACTAAAATAAAATAGTAACTGGAATTAACATAAAAAATACAGACAACTGATAGAGGTAACTATGTAAGTTTACATGTAAGAATATATTTTTATTATGCTTATTTTTTCTATCTGATCTAAAGTAAACTACAAAATGCAATTATTATAAATCTATATTCTTGGCCACACATGTATAAAGACGGAATTTGTATGATGCTAACAGCACAAAGAGGAATGGAGGGAATGGAGCTAGATAAAAGCAAAATTTTTGTATGCTATTGAAATTAAGTTGATATTAATCAAAACTAAAATGTTATAAGATGCTAACGATAATCTTCAGCACAACTCTAAGAAAATGGCTCGAAATATAAGAAATGACAAGGAAAAATGGTTCCCTATAAAATACATAGAAGGAAAAATGATTCACTATAAACTAACTCAAAAGAATACACCAATAGAGGGATACAGGAACAAAAAATTAAGACATATAAAAAATGAATAGCAAAGTGGTAGATATAAATCCTATCTTATCAATAATTGCATTAAATATAAATGTATTAAGCATTCCATTAATAACAGAAACTGACAGAATTGATAAAATAAACATCCAACTATATGTCATTTATGAGAGACACAATTTGATTTAAATATATGAAGATTTTAAACTAAAAGGATGAAAGAAAACAAAATGTTTAAAGTTATTAAACACAAAATATTTAAAAGGCCAATAAATTAAGAATCTATAACAATGATAAATATACATATATATTTGTCCTAACAAAAAAGCCCCAAAATTCATGAAACAAAACTGTAAGAATTGTAAGAAGAAATAATTCAAAACTAATAGTTAGAACATCAATACCCCACTCTCTATAATGGATAGAACAACTAGAGAGAAGACCAACAAGGGAATAAAAGATTTGGAAAACACTATAAACAAAACTAGAAGTTGTTTCTATGAAGATATCAACCGACGTGGCAAACCTTTAAGTAAACTGAACAAGAAAAAATAAACAAGAGAAGACTCAAATTACTAAAATCTTGAATAAAAGTGGCGACATTACTGGTTATGCTAGCAGCCAAGTTGTCACATGGAACTCAGGACCTCTCGTTAGCCCAGGGTGTTGCAGGCAGTGGAAGTAGCTGTTGTTTTCTCATTTTTTGGAGCAGGTTTGTTCTGAGTTGCTGTAATGACTTGAGTTTGTTGGTCTCCAGCCAGGAGGTGGCGCTTTCAAAAGAGTATATAATGGCGCTTTGGAGAGGTGTATAATCTTTCAAGGTGGCGCTTTCAAGGGGTGTATAATCTTGCCCTATGGTGGCCATGATAAGTACTCGGGTTTCTTAGGTGATGGGCAGGGCCATAGAGCTCCCAAGAGATTATGTCTACAAGTCTTAGGAGTTTTTCAGCTGTCTTGAGGCATTTGCAGCCAGCAACCTGCTTCTTTCAAAGGGTTTCTGAATTATTTCAGTTTTCCTAGTATGTTCCTGTGGTGGTTCTAGGAGCAAAAGTTTACAAAGTGAGTCTCCAGCTGATGTTCTGTCTGTCTAAGCAGGAGCTACATGGTAGTCTTGTCTTCTATCTACCATTTTTTTTTTCCGGTTTTGTTAGGTTTTCTTTTTCATGTCTCAAGTCTAGAATAAAGACTTACAAATGATCAACCATTTTTAGTCATTCTTAAAGGATACATTTTTCCCCATTCTATGGGTAGTTATTTCAAAACTCTAAATGTAATGGTGCATAATGAAAGGATAAGGAAAACATTAGGGAAAAAAAAAAACCTTGTATGTATCCCCACTGTCTCCTTCAGCAGAAAATTTTTTTTTTCCTATTTTATTTGAGGATGTCACTCTTTGGAAGTCTCCATTTTATTCCAGGTGTCTCTAACTACTGTCCTGTGTTGGGTCAAGCATTGTTTTTTGTTTTTGTTCTTTGGTATACATGACCCATTAAAATCCAGATTATAAACTATCCTGGCTGGAGCCAGATCCTACAGATCTGCACTTTTATTTAATGTCTTATTTCTAAGAAATCATCTTATTCCTTTTTCCCTGCCAGATCAGCCATGCAGTTTAATCCAGTGTATTTTGTTCTACACTGGGAGAAATTTTTATGATCTCTAGTTCACCATATTGCTCAGCTTCCTAAGAGATTCCCTGGTTCTAAACTGAAGGGCTTAAATTAAAAGTGAGATTAAGAGTAGAAATGTGAGGACAAGTTAGAGTTATTGCAATAGCAAAAGTCTAGGCAAGAAATTGTAGCTTTAACTGCTGTGTACTTGATAGAAGTAGATCAAAGTGGATAGATTTGAGAGATACTTAAGTAAAATCAACATTACTTGTGGTGAATTGGATGTGTGAGTTGGAGAAGGATGTTAGGGATAATGCCTATGTTCAGGATAATGTTCAACTTGTATAACTGGATGGACGGCAGTGCTCATCACTGAAAGAGGAACCTAGTTAAGAAAGTAAAAACTATGGGTTCTGTTTTGAGCCAAATATGGTGCCTTTGAGACCCTACGTGGCATATATGTGTCTGAAGGTCTGAGCTAGAGGTCCAACTCTGAACCAGAAATAAAAACTCATTTGACTGTGTAATTGAACTTCCTGGGCATGGGTGAAGTTGCCCAGGAAGAGGACACAGAGTGGAACAAAAGCAAGGATAGGACCAAATCTTGAGGACCTTAACCTCTAATGACCAGACAGTGGAGACTGAGCCTGCAGAGACAGAGAAGTGTGGTCAACAAGTTGGTAGGAAGTTTTAAAGAGGGTAGTGTTTCATTTTATCCCATTCTTTCTTATACCTACATTCAGCCATATTGGCATTCTCACCATTCCCTATAAGCCTTGCTCTTCCTTTCTTCTAGGACTTCATACATGCTATTCCTTCTGCCTTGAATATTCTCCATCCCCTTCTCCCTTTCCATCTTCCAATATTACTTCTGATGAACTCCCATACATCCTTTAAGGTCTAACTCAAATATCAGAACTTCTAGGTAGTCTTTCTCAAATCCTGCCCTAAACCCATTCTAGACCAAGGTTTATACCAGGTTTCATTGTCCTTTTATCTTCGTTGCATGTATCATATTGTATCTCAATTTTCCTTAGGCTATTTAACTACAGTACCCTCTTAATTGCAGGATGGATGTCTTGTATAATACCACTGTTCTTCCAGTACCTAGCACAGCACTTGGTTCACAGTTGAATTATTTTTTAATAAAAAGACTTAAAGAAAGTAGATCTCCAACAGGGTGCAGGACGCATCTGGACAAAGAGAAATCAAATGACCACCTAACATTAGGAAGACCTAAGGTGTTCATACACACTAAATCAAGGCAATTTGGGGCTGCTCACAGGTAACTGTGAGGTAACAATCAATATATGCTCACACAATTACCTCTCCCTTTTCCCTTCCACTAGGAGCCATGAGGTTGTTGCCTTCAGTGACATCTGCTCTTCCTATTCCCATTACAGTCTTGCCCATATATTCTCAATTATATGTTACATAAATAAAATATTATGGGATGAATGTTGTGGTCTGTATGGAGAAGACATCATGTGATTTGTCTTTAATCCTTTGGCTTTCAAAACAATTCCCTGCAGATAACAACACTGAAGAAATTAAATGAATTCAACTAAGAAAACTAAGGAAATACATGGCATGAGGGTTAATGAGTCAACATCAGGGTGAGTGCCGTTTATGGGGTAGTTGGAGAAGTGAAAGGGGCTTGGAGTAGAACTGGTGCTGAGAGGTACTGTGGAAGGAATTAACTGGAGAGGAATTTGCAAAGAGGTAACAAGGTGGTGTGTAGGTGGAGGGGATGGGAATGAGGGATGTCTAACAAAAGAGGTTGGCCATCAGGTAGATCATTTGCTGGGACCAGGAAAGTTGATTGCAATGTCCCCAGTGATACTCAGCATGTAGGGGCTGTCCCTAGTTCAGGTTGCCTAGAAGGGTGGGATTAAGGGGCAATTTCAAGACTGTTTGGGTTTTCTTCCCAATGTGTTAATGCTTATTATGACTGAAAGGGGATGGCAAACAGCTTATGCTGCTGCTAACATCAGTCCATAAGAAATTGGGACAATGTCAGCAATCTGAAGCAGTTCTCTGGGGGTACATGTGAAAACGTCTAAGTGAAGTCTATTGAGTCTTGAGTGAAAGAACTGTAACCTCGCATGAAATTGTGACAGATGGCCATCTATCAGCACTCAGCAGCCACAGCACCCACAGTCTGCTATCTTCAGCTTAGTATCCAATTCTTCTGCTTATCTAGCTGTACATTTTCTCTTATTCATCATGTCCCATTATTTTCCCACACAATCCCTTTCCTGGCAAACGTAACTACATATGGTTCTACAAACATGCCATGCGCCTTCCTATTTCCAATGCATATTTAGGTTTTTTATGTGAGAAGTGCACCTCTCTGATCTACTCAAACACAATTTCTATGACTCCTTTCCTAGATCTACCCTCTTCGTATCATACATATACATATGTATGTATGTTAATATCTGCGTACAAAATCACCCAACTACATGCCTGGCAGCTCATGGCAGAGCAAAAATAACACAAACGTTCAGCCTATAGACTGGCTTAGAACCTGATTCTGTCACTACCTGGCACTATGATCTTGGGAAATTTATTTAACCTCTCTAACTCTCAGTTTTCTTATTTATTATACTTACATCATAAGGATTTAGAGAAGATTAAATACTTTAACATTAAAACACCTAGTACAGTTTCCATGCATAAGAAATGTTAATTCTGGTTTACTATAGAAAGTACAACTTTCTATACACTGGCCTAAGTGTGGTTCTCTTACTATTTGGTAAGCTCCAGAAGTAATGTTATAGATTCAGCATCTTCTTTCTCTCTCCAAAGTGAACTTCTCATTCAACAAACCAATTATGAATGAAAACAAAAATGAACAAACACATGAATAGAAGAAAATTCCATGACCATTTCAAGTTTGTCTGATCTGCTTCCTGGGCAGCATAAGTTGTGGTATTTTAAACAAAAACAAAAGCAAACTCAAAGGCCGATGACCCAGCTGAGTTATTTTTTGCTATGTTAGTCCCAAGGACCAAAATGACTTTGTAATAACCCCGAGGGAAAAACTATACTTTGCAAAGGTCACAGGGAAGTCCAGGCGATATGTCTCTACTAACTTAGCAAAGGTAAGAGCTTGGCTTCAAATCTAGACTCGTTCAAAGGTTGACCTTTGTATTATTTTTATTAAAAAATATCCCTTCTGTGTTCTGATTTTGACTCTGTTCTCCAGTGGCTTCAGAAGTCACTTCTCTTCTTGGCATCATAATTCCCTCTTTTGTAAAGGGAGCTGGGGTGGCTTTGCAGGAGAGATGCCATGGTGATTGGGAGGACAAGATGAGACCTGAGTATCTCTACAGATCTCCTCCAGCTCTGGAGCCTGGCTCTGTGCACAAGGACACACAAGCCCCTAGAATGCAGGAGCAGTAGTGAGTATAAACCAAGGAGCCAGTAGAAACCCTGTGGAAATGTCACGCTGTGCCCAAGACTTAACTCCCCAGGCCCAGCTTTATCAAGTCTGAGCTGAGTTTTCCTTACTAATTTGAAACAGGCAGCCAGGGAAGGAAAGTCATGAAATAAAGCAAGCAGAGTCTCTGCTCTCAGGAGCTGAAGAGGTGCTAATTGTTGCTAAAGATCTTATCGGATCCTAGTTAGAGGCAGTGTTTAACCTCTGACTCCTGGTTGCTGCTCCCCACAGGTCTCAACACCTGCAGTGGAGAAAAGCCCTCTTCCCTCCAGACCTTTCCACACTCCTGCAGTCTACAGAGGAATGGCCCTTCCTGGGGAAAATCCGTAACTGGTGAGAGGCCAAGGAGCTAGCATCAGAGAGGAGGCTTCCACTCCTCAGGGCTCACATTGCCTCAGAATCCCTCGAGTGACTTTTGAAAGCCAGCACAACTATCTAGGGCTGCTCCCTGCCTTCTGCACACCCCTGGAGAACCACAATTTGAGGGTGGGGCCTAAGCGTCTGTATTTTTCATAACCTTTTCTTTTTGTATTGAATAGTGTAGAGGCAGCCTAAAATAAAGGTTAGGAACAGCCTGGGCTGGCTGGGTACATTTTCTAACTTTCCATCAACAAGCTTCAGACAAGTCATTTAATCTTCCTAGGCTTGTTTCCTCATTTGCAAAATAGTGATAGGGACTATATCATGAAACTGTTATGAAAATTAAATCAGTATTTGTAAAACACTGAGAACAGTGTCTGGCACATAGTAGGCATGACATACACATACAACTTTGCTAAATAAAACTAAATAAATGTCACTGCTTCAGGCTTTTATGTAATCCAGAGGCTCTCAAAGTATACATGTCAAGGCCAGAAGCCCCAGCATCACCCAGAAACTTTTCCAAAATGCAAATCCCTTTAGCAACACCCCAGACTTATTAAATCCAAAGTTCTAGAGGTGGGACTTGGTAGTCGGTTTTCACAAACTCTCCAGACATACACTAGAGTTGGAGAACCAAGGCTCTCAGTCATTCACATTCCTCTTCTTCAACAAACATCCCCTTTGTTCTCCCTGGGAGATGTGCAAGTTATTCTAGAACTCCAGATTCTCCTCAAAATGCATTTTTTATTTATGAACATTCTTTTGGTAACAAGTGGCAGGTACCCCATTCAAGCCAATTTAAACCCCAAAGAGGATTTATTGCCTCATAAAACAGAAATGCCCAGTGGTCATAACATCCAATATTTACTGCCCAGCACTATTCTAAGCACCTTATGTATATTAACGCACTTAATTTTCAGAACAGTTCTATGAAGGAGATGCTATTACTCTCTCCACTGTAAAGCCAAGGGAACAAGGAACAGAGAGGTACAGGAACTCACCCAAGGTTGCACAGGAAACAAGTGACGGCCTCGAGGTTCCAATGCACAAGGCCATGCCACAGCAGTGCTCTCAGTCACTTGCAAGGAAAGGCAGGGTCCAGGCACTCACACTAGGGAAGCTAGCTTAGTCCATTTGTGCTGCTATAACAAAATACTACAAACTAGGCAATTTAAATCATGGAAATTTATTTCTCACAGCTCTTGGAAGTCTGGGAAGTCCAAGATCAAGGTACTGCCAAAGTCAGCGTCTACAGAAGGTTGGCTCTCCTTTCACGACAGTGCCTTGTTGCCGCATTTTCACATGGTGGAAGGAGAGACGGCAAAAGAGATAAATGCTGTGTCTTCACGTGGCAGAAGAGGTGGAGGGCTGAATTTGTCCCCTCAAGCTCTTTGGTAAGGCACTAATCTCATCTATGAAGAGGGAGTCCTCAAGACCTAATCACTTCCTAAAGACCCCACCTCTTAATACTGTTGCATTAGGGATGAAGTTTCAACATAAATTTGAGAGTGGACACAAACATTCAAACCATGACAATAGCTGCTTCCATTTTTCTCCATTCTCAGGTCTTGCTTTACGTTGGATCATCCCCAGTCTCAGGCAGGTAGTCCTTGTGCAGGACCCTGGGTGGTCCAGCATAACGCCTTTGTATATGATTGCATATAGAGGCAAAGGGCTCCTCTCCCTCAATTGTCCTAACAAGAGCCAACGAATTGGCTCTGATTGCACTGACCTGTGCTTCAGGTTCTCCCTGGACCAATCATTGGAACGGACTCTAGAGGATTGCAACCGCCTTTGCAGAATTATTACTGAAACAGTGAAAGAGATCTAACCTAACTGACTCCATCTTGCTTCTAACCTTTAAGCTTTGTTCATTCCTAGGCATAGGCTGAACTAACTTTGGGAGGAACTTATAGTTTAAAATGAAGACAACAACAGCCATTTCCCAAAATAAACCTCCTTCTTGCCTGGGGACAAGATTGCCTTTGTAGGACTAACATTAGCCAAAAGAGTAGAAATTATGGTTTAGGAGTCATGTAGCTGGAGGTTAAACTGCCCCTAAGATCAGTGCTTGAGATATTTTGCAGGCCCTGCACTTGATAGATCAGCTGGCACCACCCAGACTGATAAATCAGCACATCTGATTTTGCGGCCCCCACCCAGGAACTGACTGAGCACTAGAGGACAGCTTCAACTTCCCATGATTTCGTCTCCTACCTAACCAATCAGCACTCCTGGCTCACTGGCTTCCCCCCACCAAGTTGTCCTTAAACACTCTGATCTCCCAGTGCTCAGGGAGACTGATTTGAGTAATAATAAAACTCCGGTCTCCCACACAACTGGCTCTGCATGAATTACTCTTTCTCTTTTGCAATTCCCCTGGCTAGGCCATAGGCAAGGTGAACCCATTGGGCAGTTGCAGATTAAATATGTCATTTGGCCAGGCTGTGTCACATGGCCACAAGGGCCCACAGGGCCCAAGGGTCTGGAGGGAGCTTTCTCCTGAGTGATATAAACCAGAGGAGGAAGGCTGGCTAGGCAACAAATAGCCATGCTACATGCTAGGCCCTGTTTCAAAAGCTTTCTAGATATACAATCACTGACTCATCACAATAATTCTATGACACAGATACTGTCTATACCCTATTTTTCAAACAAGGAAATGGAAGCAGAAGACTAAGTAGCTTGTCCACGGACACCACATAAGTAGTGAATAGCAGAACCTGCATTGGACTGCCTGGCTCTGGAAGTCTATGCACTTAGCAGCTAGACCAACCTGTCACTGATGCTTTTGTCAGTTCTGAGTTGAAGACGCTCCTCACCATATTGGCCAGGTTCAGCTTCCTTCAAACATAAGAAGACAAAGAGACTTACCCAATCTATCCCATCTGGGAGTTTCTCCAAATAACAGTTGCCTTCTTTCTTTACTGGCTACAATATTGCAAATACCACAAAGGAGGGTGCCTAGATTTTAGCAACTAAAAACACAGGGCACTCGGTTAAATTTCAACTTCAGATAAACAATTTTTTGTTTGTTGAGTATAAGTAGAATCCATGCAATATTTTATCTGGCAACTCTACCTCAGAGTGAGATTTGTACCTAAGGTGCCTAACTGTACCAGTTTGCCCAGGACTGAGTGAGTTCCCAACACATGGGAGTTTCAGCTGAACCAGAACCAGTTGGTCACTCTGCACCTATCCTAATGGTCTACTCACAGATTTCAAATTGGCAGCACTCCAACATTGTCTAAAGCCAGCCTCTCTCGTAGTCAGTTGTTTTCTGTGATCACACTCTTATCTCTAGGGATCATCCACACCTACAATTCACATGGGTCTCTGCCTTCCAGTTCCTCTGCTCAACGTGTTACCCTGATGCCTTCAGAGCAGGCTGACTATGGCTGACCATGCAAGAATGAGAGCCTCTTCCCTATCCTCCTTAGAACTTCCAACAGCCTCTTGTTCCTCCAACAACAGCTCAGTATGTGAGAGCTTCTGGGAGTCCACCAGCAAGCTTCTGGTGGACTTCTAACCCTTCTAATGAATAGAACCTCAAGAAACAGAGGAGGGCTAGGGAGCTTGCCCAGGAAGCATGAGGATTGAGGCTCTAGTTTTGACTTTTTTCCATTGTACACCTGTGCTGCAACACCCCAGAGCATTCTAATGCTAAAGCTTCCTGTTCAGTCTTCTTTATCTTGGCTGGCTTTCTTTGTGGAGCTGAGAGCTCATGGAACACCCAAGGTTGGAAAAAGAAGATAGCTCTGCCAGTAGGGAAGCTGCTCCATTTAGCAAAAGCTGAGAGAAGGTAACATGGCTATCACTTACCATTACATCCCCACTCAGATACATAAAGCAGCTCTTATCCAGAGGGCAATCTCTTATCCAGTGTGCCAGGCAGAACTCTGATCTCCCCCTCAGTCAACAGTTAAACAGTCAGTGAACCAAACATTGATTCATTTACACTGGGCCTTTCTGAGCTAAGCTGGCTCCTGCCTTGGGTGAACATGGTCCAATATGAACCAGGCTTTGGGCTCTAGAATCCTTTTGCCACTACCCTTCTGCCCTTGAACCTTTTTTTTTTTTTTTTTTTTTTTTGAGACAGAGTCTTGCTCCATCGCCCAGGCTGGAGTGATATGGTGCGATCTCGGCTCACTGCAACCTCCGCCTCCCAGGTTCAAGCAATTCTCCTGCCTCAGCCTGCTGAGTAGCTGGGATTACAGGTATGTGTCACCACACCCGGCTAATTTTTGTATTTTTAGCAGAGACAGGGTTTCAATATGTTGGCCAGGTTGGTCTCAAACTCCTGACCTCAGGTGATCCACCTGCCTCAGCCTCCCAAAGCGCTGGGATTACAGGCGTGAGCCACCGCACCCAGCACCTTGAACCTTTTTAATTCCTCTTTCTATTCCTAGAAATGCTTCTTTTCCTAAACTTGGCTCCTGTAAGCCACAACACAGTAAGTAGATGTGTCCCTTCACACGTATTTGCACAATCTGGCATTTCCCCCACTCTCTCTGACAGCAGGGCTGTGGTTTGAATGTCTATCTCCTCTAAAACTCATGTAGAAATCCAATCGCCAATAACAGTATTAAGAGGTGGGACCTTTAAGAGGTGATCAGGCTATAAGGGCTCCACCCTCATGGATGGAATTGGTGCTGTTATAAAATGGTGAGTTCACTCCCTCTTCTTCTCTCACCACCTTGCCTTCTGCTGGCTAATAAAGCAGCAAGACGACCCTCCCAAGGTGCCAGTACCTTGATATTGGACTTCCCAGCCTCCACAGCTATGAGCCAATAAATTTCTGTTTGTTATAAATTACTCAGTCTCAGACATTCCCATGAGACCATCACAAAATGGGCAAAGACAAGCAGAAACCTTGTCTGTCTTCTGGTCACTGTTCTCTCCAAAGTTTAGAATTGTCCCTGCCATGGAATAATAGCAGTGTGTTAAAAGTTTAAAAACACAGACTCTGTTCCAATAGCCAGAATTGTTTGGGCTCAAATCCCAGATCTTCCTCTTACTAGCTACATAACTCTGGACAATAACTTCCCCTTTCTGTGGCTGAGCTTCCCCATTTGTAAATGATGTACAAGAGTACCTCTTTCATAGGGCTGTTTTAAGAACTGAGTCAATCTGTATAAAGCATTTAGAATTAGGTATTTAATTAAACTTAGATGAATAAAATATCTGAGCTCCTCCTGTATGCCAGATAATGCAGGTGTCGAGGATAAAAAATATATATATAATCCTTGTCCCCAAGAATCAGAGTCTGATGGGGACCTGAGGTAGGTAAATAGACACAGACTAAGTGTCTTAAAGGAATTATGTACTTGGTTCTAGGGTAAGGCACAAGAATTACCCATATTTGTCCAGGAGAGTGAAAGAAGGCTTCAGAGTGTAGGATAAGTGAGAGATGAGCCTCAAAGGAATAGAAGGAACTTACAAGGATTTCACAAACCAAAGACCAGCACTAGACTGGACCAAGCACTTCAAGGGCGGGAGTCAGCTCAGTTCAGGAAAATTTTGAGGCTAGGGAAAGGGGTATAGTTAAGCATATTTAAGGAAATGAGGAATGATCCAGTTCAGTTGGGGTGCCACCTCTATGCTACCTTGGTAACTGGCATTTGCTCCCTCCTGTAGGCTCTGTATTTAAGGAAATGTGACAACATAAGTGGATCGAGCCATATGAGTTTGGACAACCAGGCAGCTATGATGTGGCAGAACCTAGGAGTGACAAGCTCCAATGGATAGACCCTGTCTTGGGAGTTTAGTAGAGATGTGCATGGAATTTGAAATCAGATAAACTCAGGTCTTGTTGCATGAGGCAAATTACTTCTCTCTGATCCTCTGAATCATCATCTCTAAGATGGTTTTATTATATGGATTGCTCACTTTGAGGATTACCAAATACCAGATGCTGAATAAGCAGTTAATAAATGAAAGTTATTATGATCCATAATTCTCATCTCTTCTTCCTGATGTCACTTAACAATATGTTCTAAAGATATATAATAAAGATTGAGAGCTGTTTTTTATATTGCAAATGAATCCAGTTCTGTTGATTACTATGTATCTTTCTCTGCACCTTTTCCCCATTCGTAAAATGGGGAAAATAAGGGTGCCATTCCCATGGGATTATTTTGTAAATTGATGAGGAATACACACGAAGCACATAAAGTGATAAGTGATCAACGTATATAAGCTGCTTAAAAAGGAAATGATATTAATATTGTAGAGACTTAAGATTGCAAAGACGTCATTGAAGATGGGACAAAGGTGTACACAGGCACTGGAGGGAAAAAGCTAGGGATGCCTATCAATGGCACGACTTGCCTTCTCAGAGAGGGTAATATCCAGAGACAACCTTGGACCAGCTTTCAGGAGGCCTTACACAGAAGCTGCAGACCAAGATTGGAGGCCTACTGCTCCCCTCATGAACCCCACTGCTCCCCTCATGAACCCCAAAGCCTCCAAGAGAGACTAGGCTATCTGCTGTCTCTTGATGGCAGGGAAATGAGGGTGACATGCTATAAGTCCCTAGCACTGACATCTAGACTTCGAGGTATTATAACCCTAGAGGATGTTGTCAAACAGACTCATCAATTCCACCCCCAGCTGGGAATACGCTGTGTTCACAACAGAGACAGCTGCAAACACCAAAACACCAGGATTGAGATGACAATCTTTATTTGCTTGTTTTTTTCTTTTTGCTAAGAGGAGAGGGAATTGTTTTCAGAGCCTGAACCTAGCCTCTCCATTTTTTAAGTTGTCGGCTTCTCTTATCCCACTCCAGCCAGTGTTTCTAACAAGAACCCAGCAATCTTCAGGATTCTCCAGTGACTAACTCTTATCCTCTCCTTCCCCCACTCCTCCCTGCCCTTCTGGGATCCATCTAGTTAGCAGAGCAACAGTTCTCACCCCTCCAATGGGCAGGAAAATGTAGCGTACTATAAACAGCATAGAATTTCCAGCCAGGAAGCCCTCAGTATGAATTTCAAATTTGCCGATGACCAGCTATGTGACTCTACAAGACAGTTAACCTCTTTCAAGCCTCAATTTTCTTGTCTGTAAAATGTGAATGATAATAATTCTGATTCCAGTAACTATTGTTGTATAACAAACCATCTCCAGCTTAGTGACATTATACAACCATTTGATTATACTCATGGATTTTGTAGATCAGTAATTTGGAAAAGGCAGAGTAGGCAGCTGGTCTCTGTCTTTGGTGTCTGGGGCCTCACCTGGGAAGATCAAAGTTTAAACATGACTTTATAAATGAAGTCTGGAATTGCCTGAAGGCTTTTTACTCAGATACCTAAAGCCTAGATTAGGAGGACTCAAAGTTTGGGGCTACCGGTGAGAGCACCAACACATAGCTTCTCCAGGCTGCTTAGTGTCCTCACAACACTGTGACTCAGAGTAGTTAAACATCTTATATGGAGGCTCAGAGCTCCAAAGGTGATTGTCCTCACTGCTGAGATATGAGCAGCAGCACAGTGGAAGTCATGCTTTGTCACCTCTGATGTGTCTGTTGGCTGTAAAGAGCCACAAGCCTGCCCAGATTCAAAGGGAGGGAAATTAGTCTTTACTTTTGATGAAGGAATGCAAAGCTCTAAAACACATGGGAAGGAAGATATTGTTTCAGCCATCACTAGAAAATAGATTTTACATATTCCCCTATAGAATATCCATGAAGTGGAAGATATTGCATGTAGGCAACCTTGGCAAGTGATAGATGTTCATTAACCTGCTCCCTGCTCCTCAAGTTAAGTTGAAGTGCCAAAATATTTCCTTGGTGATTTTGGACAGCAGCCCTTTTGAAAGCTTTTATAGTCAAGTTTCTCCTCTCCCTACAAATCAGAGAATCCTTAGGTCATTCCACATATCTGGAACTAAACTGGATCTATATTTGCTTTCAAATAATAATAATAAATTGATAACAGCCTGCTAAATGTCAGGCCCTATTCTAATACAACACTTGATCTCATTTTCTTTTACCCACAACCTTTAAATGTGAGTATTATCTCCATTTTATAGATGAGTAAACTAAAATTCAGAAAGCATAAGTGATTGCTCAATGCTACACAGCAAGTCAGACCCAGACCCCATATGCTAGGCTACTCTTGTGAACCTAACACCAGAACACTTGCTCTGCCATTCTACCATGCTGCTGTGCTTAGTAGTCACCTCTTCTTGGAGAGGGTGTGGTCTCTTTGGTTGTGTGCTGACAAATATTTAACAACCATGTAGAAGTATGTATGTGTATATGCATGTATATATGTATGTAAATGCAATCATTATAAATTTTATATATATAAAAGATACAGAGCAGGCCAAGTGTGGTGGCTTACGCCTGCAATCTCAGCACTAAGGGGAGCCAAGGCAGGTGGATCACCTGAGGTCAGGAGTTCAAGACCAGCCTGACCAACATGGTGAAACCCCGTCTCTACTAAAAATACAAAAAGTAGCCGGGAGTGGTGGTGAGTTCCTGTAATCCTAGCTACTCTGGAGGCTGAGACAGGAGAATTGCTTGAACCCAGGAGGCAGAGGTTGCAGTGAGCCGAGATCATGCCATTGCACTCCAGCCTGGGTGACAGAACTACACTCTGTCTCAAAAATAATAATTATAAAAATTAAAATTAAAAGATATAGAACACATAATTTACAAATAAATTATACTATTCTTTATTGAAATAACACTGGTCTTTATTGACATTTCTACATAGCCAACTGATTCTTAAAGAATGCTTGCTCACCTCTGATATTCATAGCTAACCTGTGGTTTCCATTGATAAATGAGTGTAATTCCAGTATAAATTTTGTTAGATATTTTCTGTTTATATCAATGAGTAAGATGGAAATGAAACAACAGACGTGTAAGAACATCACGCACTCATCAAGGACATGGCTGACTTCTTGGCTGAATCGAATAATAATTTTCACATAATGGAAAAATAGTTCAATTTTTTTGCATGCCATTCACAATGTAACACCCACAGGTATGACACACATTTGAGTTCAATCTGCATTATTTTTTTTCCAATACTTTTAGTTTAGATATACAATCTACACAATAAATCCAGTCCTGACTTGTAGCATTTGCTGATTTGCATGGTGTAAATACTCCCATGATGGACAATCTCAAGCTAGCAATGTGACATCATTGAATATCTGTCTGTCTACCTTATAGATACAATAGACATAAATAACCATGACAGAACAATTATAAGACGGAGTTAAATAATCAGGAAGCAATGAGTTTTGAGTATTTCTTATGTTTGTTTACAATATAATGATTTAATTATGATTATGTAAGTATTAATGGCTGTATTTATTAAACATGTTGAAAAATTCCTGAAAATTTAACATCAGGTTTCACAAACTGGTATGAGCCAGATCCATCACACTATTAGTCTCTTCCATCTCCATTTGACCTCCAGTCACAACTGACTATGTCCCGATAATAAATCTTGCTGTCTACCTTTACTCCCAGCATACTCTGGGGCAGATGTCAATATTGTGTATTATAAAGTAACATAAATACTGCCGTGTCTATTACTTAGAACTACTTGCTCTACTTCTCAGAGTTACAATGAATTTTCCTTCTTTCCCATTTAAACTTGAGGGGATTTCCCAGCTCCATCTTCTTCTCTCTCATCAGCTAGGGCACCATTTTTGGTAAAGCCTGTTTGGTTTCTTCCAGTTTTGCCAATGACGGAAGTCACATCCAAATGGTTTGCTCCACTGATGTAAAGGTATGCACTGGCCTTAGCTATACTTTGAGGTGCTCTCAGATGCAAGTTGTTCCATTTTATTTCCATGCTGTAACTCATTAAAACTGTGTTTCACTCCAGCGTTCTGCTCATTACAATGGACAGAGAGAGTTTTGCTTCTGGGAAGCACAGTTATAATGAGGGCAGAGTGTTCAGCACAAAAACAGCTCCTAATAGCTCATTAGGAAAATTGACTAGTTAGGCAGAACTGTTGTTCCTTCACTTTGACAAAAGATCTGAAAGGCTTTCCTTCTTCAAGTGCCAGGGACACTGACGATCCAACCAAGTCCCTAGCCAGGGCTGGCCAGGCTGGGCAGGAGCTCTGGCTTCATCCTAGAAATGCCTCGGAGTTCCCAAGTGAGTAGACCCTCAACGTGGTTGACTATTTGTCCTGAGGATAGGTCATGGCTTCCTGTGTGAGTGTGTGGGAACTTGTGTGTTTGCTTGTACAGGAATGGGGAAAAGAGATGAAAAGAAAGGAGAGAGTCAGGGGGAGTGACTGCCCTTTGCTCCACTGCTTGGAACAAGATATTATTAGTTGGCTGGGGATCTTGAAATGTCCAGTCCTTTTCTTGGAAGTTCCTCCAATCTTTGCTTTAGAAGCATTTCCTCAGATCCTGATTAAAGATAGTCTAATTTTTGGTCTCTTATCTCAATGAAAAGCATCACCATTATTATGATAATTAAGACCATAATTTCCCTGAATCACTGGAAAATCAACAACCTACCAGTTCAGAAACACAGATTGAAGCAAGCATGCATTTTGTCAGCCAACTTGTGTCACCAAGTTGCAATCATTTGTAATATGACTTTACCTATGTTTTTCAAGCACTATCCACATATTTTCAGAGCCGTAAATTATTTTTTCAAACAACATCTTACATGGAGCCCAACCAATCAAACTGATCCAACTGGAGCTACTTGGGTTGAGACGAGGTGTAGGGCCTGGGATTTTGTTGATCACTCAGACTTTCCTGCTGAGGTCCCCTGGGGCAGTTTCCAGGCACCCCCTTTGAAGTTCTGTGGGTCACAGATTGAAAGTACTGCCATATATCAGAGGCCTGAATAATGCGCATACTCTGTGACTCAGCAATCTGGTTTCCAGGACTATAACCTAATACAATAATCAAACAGTAGCCAAAGAAGCTTTCCCAAGGATGTTCATCTCATCTTTGTCTAACTAAACGTTTTGAAAATTTTATCAGGCTAACTAAATGTTTCATAAGACTAGAATTGGTTAAACAAATTATAGTATGTATATATAAAACAGAATAATAAGCTTACATTCAAAATGATATAAATTTATGTTGATAACTGGAAAATATCCTTTCATACTGGAGAGTGGAAAAAAACAGATTACAGATTATGCAACATTATGACATCATTTGTGTAAAATATGACATGTAGTATTATATGCATGAAAGGACATGCATCAAAATGTCATTTTCTATGATTGAGGATGTTTTATTGATTTAATTTTTCAATTTCTGTGTTTTTAAATTATTTATAAGCATGTATGATTTCACCAAAAATAAAAGAGAAAAATGTACATACAAGTAAGAAGAAAAAGAACTGCTGCTTTTCACTGCCATTAGAACAGCATTTGACCTGCTCTTCCTCAATCTGTATAGAGGTTACCAAAATTTTTTCAAACCAAATATAATCAAGTGATATTTTCTCTTTCCTAGAAGTAAGGACGCTGCTGTTTAGGGCATCTGGCACTGAAGGCCTGTTCACCTCACAGGACCTGGAAAGCCAGCACTCAGAGACCACCTTTCCCCCATGTCTCTGAGCTATTCACCAGCAAAATGCTTGTGCCTGTATGTGTGTGCTGGGGTGGGGGCCGAAGGGAGAGGTGGCAGGGGTCTGCTTGGGCCTTATTTATCCCACTGTAGGCTGGTGATCTGACTTTCCCTGCACATTATCTGTTTTGGGGATCAAATGAAGCCATAATAACAAAAATCTTAATCTACTGGCGCTCAGCATGCTGGAAAGTTCTTCTCAAGTAATCTGAGGTGTGCGTGGCATCTTCCTTGTGCCTGCACAGCATCTTCCTGTGTCTGCTTCAGCCAGTAAGAACACTACTCCCCCAGTTCTCTGTGAGGTCTGACTTTCACATCAGCCTCCACATCTACCTGAAACTGGCACCTTTCCCTGGAGTTTTTAAGATATGAGAGGTACACAGTGTTTGGCTCTGAACTAAAGTGAAAAGGCTTGTTACATTTTGTCCACCACATCAGGCATAAAGCATACCTGAGCAGTGAAGCTCATGACCCATGTTCCCATAATTTATAGGACCTCATCAATACCATTCCCTTTGCTTCCACCTGCACCCATTCCAACAGGGCTCAGATACCAGCATGGACCCAGGCTGGGGGCAGACGACAGGCATCCTCCAGGATCCCCTCCAGGAGCCTGCTCACCATCTTCCCCCAACATGGCTCCTCCCTTGCAGGCAAATAAATGGCCACATGAAGTCAAGCACAGACAAGTAGGGTGTCAAGCCTCTATCTTCATTGTCTCTTCTGCTCCCTTCAGGATCTTTTCAGGTTACAGAAAACAGAAGTGTAATAACAGCATAGACGAATAATATAGAATAGTATAATAAGCCCAAGTATAATAGTAATATAGACACCATATTGAATGTCTTTATGTGATTTGTGGAGCTCTTCCTCTTATCTTTCTGCTTATCAGTGGCCCTGCCTGAAGAGACAGCAATGAGGGAGAGGACTTCACCATATATTAAGGGTCTACCATAGCTCAGCATTGCACCAGATGTGAGCCGTCTCATTTTCCACCTTGCAGCTTCCTCATCGTTTAGCAGATGAGCAAGCAGGTTTGGAGATTACTAAGTGACTAAACAGACCTGAACTTTGGCTTGTTAGACACCAGCAATGGGAGGATACTCTAGTGTGTCTGACAGGAGACTAGGAACCTGGAGTCCCCATGTCCTAGCCCAACTCCTCAGTAAAGTCTCCCTAACTAGCACAACAGCATTCAAGCATCTCTCCCTCTCCCAAACATCTCCAATTATCAATCAATTTGGTGAGTTCCCTTGAGACATCTCATCTAGACCAGCCTTGAACTATCACTCAAATAATTTATAATTATTTTTCTTTTCAAGAGCTTAAGACTGCGGCTCCTTACAGGCACTGGCTCTGAATGGCTTGTTCATCTTCATATCTCCCATCACCACCAAACAGTTCCCCAAGGTATGTTTGTCAGTTTCACTTAATTTTCTGGATATAAATTGAAAAATATCAAATGGATTAAATGCTAAAGGCTGTTACTTTTTCTATTATACAACAGAATCATCTTACTATAAAATGAGCCCAAGAGATCCTTTTGGAAATTTTTTTTTACAAAATGTCTTTGGGGTGTAAAATAGTTCTGCCTATATCCAACAAAGCATACTAAGATGATATAGGTGAAATTACTTTATAAATTATAGAACATTACAGAAATTAAGCCATTATTTTTACTATTTTGGTAATATTTTCTGACATATTTAATACTATTATTCAGTATATATTTAGTATTTTAGTATTTAAAATAGTTTAATATTTGGTAATTTATTGCACATCTTAGTAATTATTACTAGTTTATTTACTGCTACTATAAGCAATAGCAGTAATATCCGAGCAAGCAGTGTGTCTCTCTCTTTCATTCTTCCCCATGTCTTCTATTGCCTATTAGAAACCAAATCAGTTTTTATCTCTTATTATGCACTCATGAATGGCAAAATAAAGTCTCTGACAACAGCAGAGGAATGAGATAATAGGTTGCACCAAACCTTGAGGGAACCCAACCCAGAACTGATTTAGGGTTAGAAGCCTGGGGACCAATAAGGAACAAAAAGAAGGGCTCATAGTTGAGTTAGCAATAAAGCAAGAACCAAGAGGAACATTGTTTTTAAAAGCAAGAACGCATAAAGGAAGAAAATAGTTTTAATCAAATAATAAAACAATGAGAACAAATATAAAAATTAGGGTAAAATCTAAGATCTTCCATTTCTGTTTATAATTCTTTATGATTGGGTTTTTTTTCATATCTTAGCCAGGGGAATCAATTCTCCAGATTCAGGGAGCCTTCTGTCTCTTCTCACACAGAAACAGTATAATCTGGAAGCCTCCAAGTCAGGAGGCAAGATTGGAGTCATTACTGGCCCAGTTACTCACTGTGTGAACCTGAGAACGATGCTCAAAAAAAGACAAGCCTCAGTTTCCTTATCTGAATGATACTGATAATACCTAAGACACAGCGTTACCGGGGACTGAGTGAAATATTTGCAAAAAATATCTAACATATTTTAGCTATTTGATAAGTTGATTCTGCCTCATGTCTTCCATTAAAAAACCAAACCAGCTTCTGTTATTATACATGTTTTCTTGAATTGTTAAAAACAATACCCCTAATAAATGACCAACTGAATTATATGAATGAATCTGAACTACTTCACTCTCCTCTAATGCTGAACAATTAGATTGTTTCCCACTTATTAGACAACTATTGCTGTGATGAGCATCATCTATAAAATGGGAATATTGCACACCGGATGGTTGTATCAACTGAACACACCTGTATTAGTCTGTTCTCATGCTGCTAATAAAGACACACCTGAGACTGGGTAATTTATAAAGGAACGAGTTAAACCTCACAGTTCCACATGGCTGGGGAGGTCTCACAATCATGGTGAAAGGTGAAGGAGGAGCAAAGCCACATCTTACATGCAGCAGGCAAGACAGTTTGTGCAGGGGAATTCCCATTTATAAAACCATCAGATCTTGTGAGACTTATTCAACTATCACAAGAACAGCATGGGAAAAACCCACTCCCATGATTCAATTACCTCCCACCAGGTCCCTCCCACAACACGAGGGGATTATGGGAGCTACAATGCAAGATGAGATTTGGATGGGTACACAGCCAAAACATCAACACTCTTTTGGCATAGACTTTAGTTGTAACTGGGATGGTAAAGTTTATTCAATGTGCCTAAACTTTCCATCCAACCTCTTTAAATTTTGTGACACTAGTAATGGCTCCAAGTTATATGTGTAGGATTGTTGACCATTGATCTATGGCCAGGTGGCTTAACTGCTGAGAAGATGATGTTTTTTAGTGAGGCCACAAATCCCTGACATAAGCCATCTCCTCTCTCCTCCACATATGCTTACATATCCCTTATATTTCCTGTCTTGTTCTTCCGCATCACTCTGTATTTGGCCCACTTGTCATCTCACCTTTGGATTCATGGTCTTTATTATCAAACAGTACAACAGAGTAGAAATATCAGGACATTTGGCAGCAGACAGACTTGAAGCCTCTCTCCAGCTCTCTTATTCACAGTGTCCTATGAACAATTACATAATCTCTGTTTTCTCATTGAAAATAGAGTTAAAGTCTGTCTTGCAGGGCTTTTGTAGTGAACACGTGGGATCATAAACATAGCTCTGAGCAGGGATTCTGGCCCATGGTAGCAATTCCTCCTCTTCACTCCCATACTAAGTGAGGCTTGACACAGGGAAGGTTAAAGACACTTTGGCCTTGTCCTTACCTACAACCCCCTCTGGATGTTATTTAGTGTTGTGGCCAAGTTTCCCTTATGGGAAACTGGCCCTGATTATGGTGTTCTATGGCTAATATCAGGCTTGGCATTTCCCCCGCTGTGAGAATATTTTTCTCTTAGCTCCTATCAATAAATACCCTGTTACTTCATCCAGGTCCAGAGCCCCAAGACCCTTCCCAGTGCAATGCAGTTTAGAGCCATTAGTTCAATAGCCTGTTTCATGCAGTGATCTCATTGAAGAATAGGTCCCTTCCTTATCCATGTGTCTCTCCCTGCGCAGCCTTCACAAGCCTCCTTTAAATTCCCAGCTTGGTAGTTGGGTTACAGCTATCAGTGGACAGACTGGCTGATCACTTTGCCTGTCTTCCAGGACTTCAAAGCCTCCACCACCCTGATTCCCTGTTACTACTCTACCCACCTGAGAGCCAGCCATTTATCTGAACCTGCTTACTCTACTCCAGGACACAGTGACAGGTCACATTATAAAACAGGATGCAAAAATGTCACCCCATGTCCCCCTGGAACACCACCACTTCAGAGGATTGCCATGCCCATGGACTCAGTGGGGTCTCTGGCTAGCCGCCATGCAGCTATCACAGTGCTGGCTGTCAGAGGTGCCTCAAGGAAAAGGATTATGCCTTGTTCCCTGTTGTTTAGCCATTGTGTGGGGATAGAATTAATGAATGAATGGTCACCTCAAGACATCATGCTGCGAGTCCCCCAGGAGTGGGAGTAGATATACATCCACGACTCCTAGGACAGCATGAGGAATCCTGCCTGCATCCCTTAACACAGGCTGGCCTCTCCCTGGTTCTCTACCTTCCTTTGGCTCTGCCTGTTTCACTGTGTGATGTTGAACTAGTGATATAACCTTTCTGAGTCTCGGTTACCTTATCCTCCAAATAAGGAAGACAGCACAACTTAAAAATAGACAATAAAGATACTAGTTTTAGTCTGCCCTTCTTAACATCCCTCTTGTTTCATGATGATTCATGATTTATCCCTTCTTTGCCCCTGCAAACAATTCCCTTGTTTTCACATACAGTCATCTCTGTAGGATCTTTTTTCTTGCTTGTTTTTCAAGTGGATCAATTCGATTAGGGCCAATAGTCTCATTACAAAAAGTTCACATGCCTCTCTCTCTGCTCCCCTCCCCTTCTTGCACACATGCTGTTACTTCTAAATATTTTGTAAATAGATTGATCCACTTGATATACTTCTAATGATTTATGTTGCAGAGTAAATCTAAAACCAATAAAAATGGAGATCAAGAATGTGCATCTATGTAAAGGGGTCCGATTATTTTTCTACAGTTTCCACTTACTCTTTGCACCTAGTTAGGCCTTTCGGTCATAATCAAAAACTTCAGTAGTGGGGAAAAAAAATAAACCCTCAGAGTTTACTGTCATGTTCACACCTCCCTCTGCCTCAGCTGGTAATCCCCTCCATCCTTCGGTGCACCACATGACAGGAAATGTTTAGCATCCACTTTTAAAAGCATGAGGAGAGGGGAGAGCTAAGCAATTCCTCCACACCATATTTTATATCTCAAGAATATAAAACATAGCTTGTGGAAATGGTGCAGAAGAGAAAGACCAGCCCACAAAGAGGGGTGGATTACAGCTACACTGAAATCATCCCATCTGTAGTCTCTGGAAGACTTGCTGTTGGGACCTCACTCCTACCCCCTTTACACTGAGGGTCCCCAAGCTCACTCCGTGGCTTCCTACTGCACACACTGGTCACTGTGCCTCAAGGATTTCCCTGGCCACTGAAATAGACTTGGACTGCTTGAGGGACAAGATGACAGTGCCAGGGGGCAAATGCCCCTGGGAGCAGCTCTCAACCTCTGACAGGCTGGGGTTGTTAGATAACGAACCCTGCTTCCTCACTATCGGGGTGGGGCAGGACTGGGGCATGCTCTGTACAGTCACTCTATTGGGATCGAGCCCCAGTTGCTCACTGCAGTATCCTTGCTCATCAGCATCCCCTCTACTGGGTCCCTCCCCTTTCCTAGCTCACTTCTCCTACCAGTGTTTCCTGGGAGCACATACTAAGTAAAACACTTGCACTCAAATCTCAGGACCTACGTTTGGGGAAAGCCAGTTTAAGATGGTCATTTTAACAGAACCTTCACACCATTTGTTAGAATCCCACACACAGGCCCAAACCCCCAGTGCCATGGAGAGTTCACTCCTTCTGTGGGAGCTGCTCAGAGCCTGTCCTCCTGTCCCCCACTGCCCTGGCTCCCTCTCTTAAGGGTTACGCTTCACACCACTGCTACCGAAAACCATGACAGGCACACAAACAGTATGACTGCGTCCCATGTTCTTTGAGATGATGGTATTATCTTATCCAGAGGGCTTATTCTCTTGGGAGAGATTTTAAACAAGGTTCTAGGGCAATGGAAGAGATACTGAGGGGTTGAAAAGCTTCCTGGGGTCTTTCAAGTTATTTCAAGTGGTCAGGCACCTATCAAAGTCAATCCCAACAGAATATGTGGGTCTTTGAAGGAATGTCAGTATTTTTGTTTGTTATTTTGTTCCAGATTCAAAATCCCATCCCTCAAAGTCTTGTTTAAGACAAGATTCAAGGCCAGGTGCAGTGGCTCACACCTCTAATGCCAGCACTTTGGGAGGCTGAGGCAGGAGGATCGCCTGAGGTCAGGAGTTCAAGACCAGCCTGACCAACATGGTAAAACCCTGTCTCTACTAAAAATACAAAAATTAGCTGAGCATGGTGGTGGGTGGCTATAATCCCAGCGAATCGGGAGGCTGAGGCAGGAGAATCACTTGAACCTGGGAGGCAGAGGTGGCAGTGAGCCAAGATCATGCCACTGTACTCCAGCCTGGGCAACAGAGCAAGACAGTCTCAAAAAAAAAAAAAAAAAAAAAAAAAAAAAAAAAAAAAAAAAGACAGACAAGACCCATTGTTTACACACCCTTCTTCTCCACCCCGGGTCAGAACGAGTCTTTTCTGTGTTCCTAATACTACTAGCTCTACTATTATCTGGAAGTGTTAACAGCAATAATATGACAATAATTTTAGTAACAATTATTAATAGCTCACTTCTGTTGAGTATTTATAGTATGCCAAACACTGCTAAGCCCTTTACCTACTTTATATGCATTTCACTTATATGAATGTTAATTTACTTAATCTTCATAATGACCCCACTCAGCAAGTCCTATAAGGATCCTCTGATATGTTGATTACACTAATGGCCACAATTTCTTATCCCTCCCAGTATCTACACCCTTTGCCATGTAACCCTACCTCCCACTATGGGCAGGGCATCATTTCACCGCTGGCCTGTGGGCTCATCCTTGCAACTGGTTGTGATCAACGTAATGTTAGCAAATGGTATACAAGAAGAGGCTTATAAAGCATTTCAGTATTTCTGCTCACCCCTCTGAGATGTCCATGAGCATGTGCCCAGGCTAGCCTGTTGAAGAGGAACATGGCTGCAGCAGCAAAGCTTGTCACTATAATCAGAGCTGAGATTACATCCTAGATAAGCTCACAACCAGCCAACCCCCAGATATGTAAGTGAATCCAGAGAAAGGCAAAAGAATTGTCCAGCCAAATCTAACTTAAATTCCTAAACTGCAAACGTATTAGCAAAATAAATGTTTATTGTTTTAAGGCATTGAGTCTTGGATGGTTTGCTATGAAGCATTGTTACAGCAATAGATAATTGGTATGTGGCCTCATTTTAGATATGAGGGAGATGAGACTTGGAGCCATCCAGCTAAATGACAATCATCATACAACCAGTAGGAGTTGCAGGTTGGACCAAGTTCTGTTGGACTGTAAAGATAGTTCTCCAATCCATATCTATCTTTCTGTCTCCCTAGTTTTTAACTGTGGAGTTGAGGACAAGAATAGTAAATGATTATTTGTTTCCTAGTTATCTAGAGTTCCAAGTCACAGTAGAAATCCAATCAATGTATGTTGAAATATATTAAGTTAATGTAAAAGGAACTATAAATTCATCTTAAAATGACATAAGCCATACTAACTTTTTTTTTTAATGGACATTGCTTCATTTGCCACTTCCTTGAAGGACAGGGGAAGTTTTATAGAATGGACATCTTTTAAAATACATTAACCTCTGAAATATTTGTGGAGAAATATGACACTTGATATTTGCTACAAATTAATCCAGGAAAAACAAAGGATTGACAAAACTTGAATAATTGTTGCTGGGTACAGGGGGCTTCACTGTACTCATCTCCCTCCTTTCACATAAGTTTGAAAATTTTTTCAAACAAAACATTTAAAAGAAAAGTAAAATGCATTTACGAAAGGGCATTCATTTTCAGTCTTATCTAAGATACTAACTTGGTTGAGTCACTTTACCCTTCCAAGCTTCTATTTGCCCTCTGATAAAGTAAAGATAGTAAGTTTACCGAGCTTTCCCCAAGAGCGTAGTTTTAAAAGTGTAGTAATAAGTCTGGCTTCTCTTCCCATCCAGGGCTTGAATAATATACTAGGACCCTTCAACCCCTGGAAATAAGCCATCCACGTAGGTTTACGTCAATGCATTGGAGTGGAATGTGTCTACCATGCCAGTAAATGATCCCTGGTTGTTTTATTTCACTTTTGGGCATGAACACTTATTTTTATTCTCTGCATACATTCTGGGGAGTCTTATGCTTAGCGGTACAGCAACATCAATAGACTCTACTGTTCTATTAAGTTTATCAAATACCAGAATATCTTGTAAGCAGCACAGAATTATAAAATCTGTTCTAGCACATCGCAGAGTGGTTATTTCTGAGAACACTTGGGTTGATACTTATAATTTCATTTAAACTCACTTATTGGCTCACACTTGGAGACTCACCGGGAGTGCACAAGCATGTCTTCACTCCTGTGCTTTTAATCTTGGGCAGCCAGGGTGCAGCTCTGCTAATTACAAGGGTACCTCCTGACAGCGCCTGTGTACCTTGTAAGTCACTCTTCACAAATGATCCACTATTCTTCAAAAGTTACAATTCATGATACTGAGGAACATCTAATCTCTCAGCCCGGCACACAAGAACCTCTGTGATCTTCCCCCTGTGTCTTTCTCTCTTCATCTTTTGCTTAGTCCTCTAACCACTCCATACACACATATCCACGCACACACACACACACACTCTGACCCAACAATATGTGATGGTTTGAAATCCCTCATCCGACTATACTTTTTCACATCTATTTGCTTTTGTCTACTTCGCCCTCTTCTTAAATTTTTCACATCTATTTGCTTTTGTCTACCTTTGCCTTCTTCTTACATTTTCCTACTCTTCCTACACATATTTTATATCTGCATAGCAAACTCCTATTCGTCTTTCAAAACCCTAATTAGGGGTCACCTTCTTGATAAGAATTCACCTGACTTCTCCTCTTGCCGTGGCAATTGTAGCCTCTAGACCAGTGGTTCTCAACTGGGGGTGGTTTCCTCCCCTAGGGACATTTGGAAATCTCTGGAAGTATTTTTCATCACCACAGCCTGGGGTGGGAGGTTGCTACTGGCATCTAGTTAGCAAAGGTTAGGGGTGCAGCTCAACATCTTCGAGTGCACAGGACAGTTTTTCATAGCAAATAATTATCTGGCCTACAATGTCAGTGTACCAAGGATGAGGTACACCCTGTTGTAGACTAAAGGGGCATATATAGTCTCTAAGCCTTCTCCATACTGCTTTTATACCTCCTGTATATCTCTATTATTACACACATGATTTTTTTTTTTTTTTTTTTGAGATGGAGTCCCGCTCTGTCACCCAGGCTGGAGTGAGTGGCACAATCTCAGCTCACTAGAAGCTCTGCCTCCCAGGTTCACGCCATTCTCCTGCCTCAGCGTCCCAAGTAGCTGGGACTACAGGCACTCACCACAACAACCAGCTAATTTTTTTGTATTTTCAGTAGAGACGGGGTTTCACCATGTTAGCCAGGTTGGTCTCGATCTCCTGACCTCATGATCTACCTGCCTCGGCCTCCCAAAGTGCTGGGATTACAGGCATGAGCCACCGTGCCCAGCCACACACATGATTTTATATAACTGTTTGTTTACATGTTTATGTCTCCCAATAAAGCAGGGATCAGCAAACTACAGCCCAATTTGGCCACTGACGTGGCCACTGCCTGTTGATACAGTCATGAATACAGCCATTTTCCTTCATGGCTGCAGAATTAAGTAGTTGCAACAGAGACTATACACTGCCTCTTAGCTTATAAAGCCTACAGTATCTACTACATGGCCCTTTAGAGAAGTTTTCCTGACCTATGCACTAAATTATAAACTTCCTGAGAACAAGGTCATTTCTTATCTTACACCTAAGTATCTAGTACATTTGCCTGCACAAAGTAGGTGTTGATTAAGCATTTATAAAGTGGAATGAAAATCAGAGTAGTGGGGTTTACTTGCGTCAGGCACAGCCTTTCCCTGCCTGGGGACTAGCAGTGCACATCTGTCTGAGAGCTTGCTGATGTTACAGGCAAAGCCCCTGATCTCTTCATGAAACAGCAAAGCAAACCTGCTCAAACAGTGTGATTACCATGCTGCTGGCTCCACTAATTCCATATTCCAAATAAAGTGACCAACTACAGGTTTCCTTCCATACGCACTGCGATGCATGCTCCATTCTCTATCTTTGTGTGGACATAATGCATTATTTTTGTGTTCATGGTGATGTAAGTGTGACCATCTTGTTCCATAAGGTAGAAATCCCATAATGCCAATTAGTTGTGTGGTACCCTGGTATCTCAACAGCATGGTTGGTGAGAACAGGGAGAAATCTATGACTGGGAAAGAGAGCCTAGAGAAAATAACTCAAATACACTGAGGACTCTTTGAAATGGCAGTTGGATAATCCAGAGAGGAGTGACTAAAGAATATGATAAACTTCTGCATTTATCAGAAAAGGCGTCAGAATAGAAGAATCCTACTTCAGCCAAGAAGAGAAAAAAGAGCTATGATATAGGGTTATGGTGAAGTTGAATGTGATAATTTGCAAAAGACAGCTTCTGGCACGTAATAGATGCTTAATAAATTCTAGTGGCAAGTATTACTTTATCCCCATTTCACATATAAGGAAACTGAGACTAAGATAACTTAAGTTACACGGTTTCACAGATAGTAAAATAACTGTGCCACCTTTCAAAGCCCAGGCTGATCAGCTTCTATTATGCCATAGAGTTGCTACAGTGGAACAGGCACAGGAGTTCGAGTGGAGGCAGCCACAGTTAGGTAGACAAGAGCAGGATGGTCTGGGGACATCACTGTGTTCCTGAAAATCTCCCAGTAGATAAGGGGCAGGTTTGAACAGGATTCAACTGGGGTTCAGGCAGCTTTCTACACCCACAGGTTACAATAAAGTAAAATATGGAATTTTTATCATGCAAGGTAGATGAGTACACAGGGATGGGTGCAACTCTGTATGTACACGTATGTGGGTGCCAAGGACCCAATACAGAAATGAGGGAATCCAGGTCTTAAGAAAGCCAAGTCGGCCGGGTGCGATGGCTCACGCCTGTAATCTCAGCACTTTGGGAGGCCAAGGCGGGCGAATTACCTTAGGTTAGGAATTCAAGACCAGCCTGGCCAACATGGTGAAACCCCGTCTCTACTAAAAATACAAAAATTAGCCGGGTGTAGTGGTGCATGCCGGTAATCCCAGCTACTCAGGAGGCTGAGGCAGGAGAATCACTTGAAACTGGGAGGCAGAGGTTGCAGTGAGGCGAGATCATGCCATTGCACTATAGCCTGGGCAACAGAGTGAGACTCCATCTCAAAAAAAAAAAAAAAAAAAAAGCCAAGTTAATTAAAAACCTGAACTTCGATGAAATGAGGCTGTTGGTGTTCTTTCTCCAGTCAAGAGTGATGTGGCAACTCAGAGGGCCATTCTGAGAGTCACAGGTCTTAGTAAGTCATATCAAGGAGAGGCCCAGGGGCCTACAAGACCTGACAGGCATCACTTTATCTATGAAATGTGAGTTCTATCTTGTATTGCCCCAGTCACACCTCCAATCATACTCTCTTCAGAAGGCAGATGCAATCATTTTCTGCTGTACTAACAGACTGGTTTGCAGAGAGAGAAAATGCTCCATGGTGCAAACCCAGAATTTGAGGCCAAATAAATCTGGGTTCAAAACTCAGGGCTGCCACTGCTACTGGGAAATAACTAACCTCTCTGATGTGATGCTAAGATTACTGTCTTGCGTAGTTGATTGAAGATAAAATAAATGCCAAGCACAAGGTAAGTAAGTACTCAATAACTAATGCATATTATAGTTATTATTCACCTCCTGGTCTGATTTCTAGTTGTCTCGAAGCCTCAGACCTAATGTTATTTACTTCAGATACAGTTTGCAGCAATGTGTTTATTACAGTGGCCCACTTCTCACCTCAAAACATGCTGCTATGTTAGGCAGGCTGTCAGTTCAGAATATTCAACTACAACACACAGACAAGTTGCTACTCAATGGACTGTTGTTTTAGCTTTTAATTTTGTGGTTTCAAAATAACTGTGCCTTCTACTCTTATCCATTTCTACCTCCCATGTTATGTGCTATTCTGGGCCATCTAGCCCTGGTGGCTGACTGACTTCTATCAGCCTAAATACTTTGAGCAGTTACAGCTCATCGGGCCTGGATGCTCCTTAAATTTCTTGTGTTTCCAGGCCATTGGCTAATAGTGTTCCCTCCACTTTATCATATTGATGGTATTATCATTACACTTTCTTCTCAACCACAATTCTGCCAATGTCATTCCATCCTAATGTACACCATCTACACAATAAGAGTGTGCCCCAGACACCAGCCTGTCAGCATCAGGGCTTTCTACACAGGCAACAGTAATGACACTGGCACGCATCAGCTCCTCTTCAGAAACATGGCTACAGAGGCAGTCTTGTCTTTCTTTGTGGCTCTGCATCTCATCCTTTGTCAACCTTAAGGAGACCAAGGCCAGACACAGCGGCTCACACCTGTAATTCCAGCACTTTTGGAGGCCAAGGCAGATGGATCACTTGAACCCAGGAATTCAAGACCAGCCTTGGCAACATGGAGAAACCCTGTCTCTACAAAAACAATACAAAAATTAGCCTAGTGTGGTGCTGTGTGCCTATAGTCCCAGCTGCTTGAGAGGCTGAGGTGGGAGGATTGCTTGAGCCTGGGGGATTGAGGATCAGTGAGCTGTGACTGCACCACTACACTCCAGCCTGGGTGACCGAGTGAGGCCCTGTCTAAAAACAAACAAACAAACAAACAGGGGAGACCAAAAAAACATTGGTACAGAAAACCTGGGTTTTAGCAAGCTCAGAGTCCATGACTTCCACCCAGATCCTATTCATGCATGATTCCATTCTTCCTACCTATGGG